>NC_000010.11:77870368-78021883 GCF_000001405.40 Homo sapiens | reverse complement strand
TCCAACGCCTGAAGGGAAAACAGGGTAGGTTTCCCACAAGATGTGCAGAAGCCAGCCCACTCTCTTTGGTTCCTTTTTCAGGAGTGTCTGTCCAGCTTCTCTGATTGGAGGTCACAGGCTTTCCTCAGTCTCTCCGTTCTTATTGTTCCCATGAGCACATGGTATGCCATGGGGACCTATGACATGTTTTTGGCTATTTAGGTCGATTTAGAGGAAATCTCTCAGGAAAGAGAGTGGATTTTTCTGGCAGAACAGTCATCTCGCCCGACCCCAACCTCCGGATTGATGAGGTAGCTGTGCCAGTTCATGTGGCCAAAATTCTAACTTTTCCTGAGAAGGTAAGTGACCACTCAGCTGCTCAATTCTTTGTTTTAAATTCAGTCTTTTACGTTATATTTTGGTATTGCAAACAACAGGCAGTAGAAAGTCCCCAGTAACCCACTCAACCCACAGTTTGGTTTATATGAGTGTATGTGTCTTCCCAGTTTGCTTTATACATAGTTGGTGGTATATATTCTGTAAACCATTTGCAGCCACAGTTGTTTCTAGTTTCATGTGTATTTACTCATATATATGCTATACTTTTTTGCAACTTTTTTTCCAATTAATAACATCTTGACCGAGCATGGTGGCTAATGCCTGTAATCCCAATACTTAGGGAGGCCAAGGCAGGTGGATCATCCGAGCCCGGGAGTTCAAGACCAACCTGGGCAACACAGTAAAAACCTTGTCTCTACCAAAAATACAAAAAATTAGCCAGGAGTGGTGGCAGGCGCCTGTGGTCCCAGCTACTGGGGAGACTGAGGTGGAAGGATTGCTTGAGCATGGAAGGTGGAGGTTGTGAGCCAAGATCACGTCAATGCACTCTAGCCTGGGTGAGAGTGAGACCATCTTTAAGAAAAAAAAGTAGACACTTTTCTATGTTGGTTCATGCCTCATATTTTAAACTAACTAAATGGTAAACATTATCCATAGTTAATTTTCTTGGGATAGATTTTTTATTTTTAAAACTTTACAGTCACTGAGTCAAAGCATTTGAACATTTTAAGGCTATTGCTACATACCCAGAAAGGCTTTTATTTTATTTTTTGTTTTTGAGGTGGAGTCTCGCTCTGTCGCCCAGGCTGGAGTGCAGTGGCGTGATCTCTGCTTACGGCAAGCTCCACCTCCCAGGTTCACGCCATTCTCCTGCCTCAGCCTCCCGAGTAGCTGGGACTACAGGCGCCCATCACCATGCGCAGCTAATTTTCTGTATTTTTAGTAGAGACGGAGTTTCACCATGTTGGCCAGGATCGTCTCGATCTCCTGACCTCGTGATCCGCCCGCCTTGGCCTCCCAAAGTGCTGGGATTACAGGTATGAGCCACCGCATCCGGCCTGGTTTTTTTTTTTTAAGAGACAGACTCTCGCCCTGTCACCCAGGCCGAAGTGCAGTGGTGTGCTCATGGCTCACTGTAACCTCAAACTCCTGGGCTCAAGCCATTCTTATGCCTCAGCCTCCCGAGTAGCTAGGACTACACATGCACACCACTATGCCTAACTAATTTTTTAAAAAAATTTTTTAGAGATGGGATTCTCAGTATGTTGCCCAGGCTGGTCTTGAACTCCTGGCCTCAAGTGATCATCCCACCTTAGCCTCCCAAGTCACTGAAAGTCACTGAGATTACAGGGCCCTGTGCCCAGCTAGCACTTTTTTTTTTTTTTTTTTTTTGAGACTGAGTCTCACTCTATTGCCCAGGCTAGAGTGCAGTGACACAATCTCAGCTCACTGCAACCTCCACCTCCTGGGTTCAAGTGATTGTCCTGCCTCAGCCTCCTGAGTAGCTAGGATTACAGGCACCCACCACCACACCCAGCTAATTTTTATATTCTTAGTAGGGACGGGGTTTCACCACGTTGGCCAGGCTGGTCTTGAATTCCTGACCTCAAGTGATCCACCCACCTCGGCCTCCCAAAGTGCTGGGATTACAGGCGTGAGCTACCATGCCCAGCCCATACTTTTTTTTTTTTTTTTAAATTGAGGTCTAGGTAACTGCAGGGCCTGCTAACGAGAATATTGATTAGCTTTACCTATGAGACTCACAGTTAGCCCAGATCATAGATGTTCCTGGTCAGCTTGTGTTGTGTGTCCTCAGTTGAGTTACTAATGATCCAAGAGTTAACTTCTCCAAAATGGTGTTCCACAAGACAGTTGTTTAAGAGGTTCCAGAACACATTCAATGCAGACCAGGGCTTGTGGTGCTGGTGTCACAACTTTTAAACCTTACAAGCCCCCAGTAAGTTATTGCAGATCAAGTCGCCACCTGTTTCTAGGATCACAGAAGGTTCCTATAGATCAGTCTAGCCTACCCGTTTTACCAGTGAGGAAACCAAGCACCAGGAAAGGAATTGGCCATGTCACTCAGTGAGCAAACAGCTGAGTTGACACTGGAAGCTGGAAGCTTGTTTGCCAGTCTGTTGTTCACATTATACTCAAGACCATAGGCAGCAGGCTGCCCAGGATGCCTCTCTTTCTCCTAGAATCTGAACAAGGAAAGTAAAGATTAAGACGCATTTCAGTATCATTTGTTAGTTTCTAGTTACCTGGGAGTAACTTATTGTGGTTTTTTTGTACTGCAGGTAAACAAAGCAAACATCAATTTCTTGAGGAAACTGGTTCAAAACGGCCCTGAGGTTCACCCAGGAGCAAACTTCATTCAGCAGAGACATACGCAGATGAAAAGGTAATCTTTTCCCAATCTAGTTGGATTTAACTACTTTCTCATGGCAAAGCTCACTGTGGTCATACTCAGCCACAGAATGCAATCCAGAAATACAGTTTGCGTGACATTTTGGCATGTGGAAAATATCTGTTTAAATTTCCGTGAGCCAAGGTATGTCATTTGCTCTGTTCAGTCATTGAATATACATGAAGTGCTCCTTTGTTCTCAGGCTTGTAATGTTATTGGATCCAGGAGGACAAAATACCATGGATACTAAAGTCTAAAGAGGATCATTATTGCTGGGCTTGGTGGCTCACACCTTTAATCCCAGCACTTTGTGAGGCCAAGGTGGGCAAATCACTTGAGGCCAGGAGTTCAAGACCAGCCTGGCCAATATGGCAAAGAAACCCCTTTTCTACTAAAAATACAAAAATTAGCTGGGCACGGTAGCACACGTATGTAGTCCCAGCTACTCAGAAGCCTGAGACACAAAAATCACTTGAACCCAGGAGGCAGAGGTTGCAGTGAGCTGAGATCACACCACTGCACTCCAGCCTGGGCGACAGAGCAAGACTCTGTCTCAGAAATACAATAAATATATAAAGTGGATCATTGCCTGTGTCACCTGGGCTCTCAGGGCTTTTAGCATTTCTAAAATTAGGATATGTCTTTTTTTTTTTTTTCAAGACAGAGTCTTGCTGTGTTACCCAGGCTGGAGAGTAGTGGCACGATCTTGACTCACTGCAACCTCCACCTCCCAGGTTCAAGCAAGTTTCCTGCCTCAGTCACCCGAGTAGCTGGGATTACAGGCACCCGCCACCACACCTGACTAATTTTTGTATTTTTAGTAGCGACGGGTTTTCACCATGTTGACCAGGCTGGTTTCGAACTCCTGACCTGGTGATCCAGCTGCCTCAGCCTCCCAAAGTGCTAGGATTACAGCCATGAGCCACCACATCCGACTGGATATATCTTAAGATCAATTTATCATGGTTTTTTTTTTTTTTTTTTTGATGTCTCAGTCTGTCACTCAGGCTGGAGCGCAATGGCACAATCATGGCTCACTGCAGTCTCCACCTCCTCTGCTCAGGTGATCCTCCCACCTTAGGCTCCAAAGTAGATGGGATTAAAGGCACACACCCCACCACGTTTGGCTAATTTTTGTATTTTTTGTAGAGACAAGGTCTCACCATGTTGCCCAGTCTGTTCTCAATCTCCTGGGCTCAAGCAGTCCGCCCATCTCAGCCTCCCAAAGTGCTGAGATTACAAGAGTGAGTCACCTCGCCCACCCTGTCATAGTTTAATAGGGAGCTTTTTTCTTGGCACATAAAACTATATGACATTAAAATGGAGGCATCTTAGATTTGATGAAATAATATATTAAAGATTGAATCCTGATCTGAAGAGGGAGAAACTTGGTGAGAGAACTTTGCTTTCACAGATCATGTTTATTGTTGCACATTCAGGTTTTTGAAATACGGAAATCGAGAAAAGATGGCTCAAGAGCTCAAGTATGGTGACATCGTAGAGAGACACCTCATCGATGGAGATGTGGTGCTGTTCAATCGGCAGCCCTCGCTGCACAAATTGAGCATTATGGCTCATCTGGTGAGTAGCACTGCTTTTTAAATTTTCCATCACGTAGAAATTTGCCATGACTGTTCAGTGCTAAACAGTGGACTTCTAAAATTAAAATTGCCTGTTATCTCAAGTTTTCATAACTTTTTTTTTTTTTTGAGACAGGCTCTTGCTCTGTCACCCAGGTTGGAGTGCAGTGACACAATCACAGCTCACTGCAACCTGGACCTCCCAGGCCCAAGCAAGCCTCCCACCTCAGCCCCCAAAGTAGCTGGGACCACGGACATGTGCCACCAAATCTGGCTAATTTGGGGTTTTTTTGTTTTTTGTTTTTGGTTTTTGGTTGAGACGGGGGTCTCACTATATTGCCCAAGCTAGTCTGGAACTCTTGGGCTCAAGCGATCCTCCTTCAGCCTCCCAAAGTTCTGGGATTATAGGCGTGAGTAGCCCCTACAGCTGGCCCAACCTTTCATAACTATTGGTCTCCCTCTTCTCTCACATTTTAGTTTGAGTGAAACTTTTTAATTTCAAGCTTCCTTTTAGTAAGCTTTAATATTTTTTAATATTAAATTTTTAATATTTGCAACGTAATATTCATACAAAACACTAAGAGAGGATTTAATTGAAAGTGACTAGCATGGTTTCACAAAAACATATACACGTATATGTGTTGTGTGCACAAACTTACATAAAATAGGTATGGCAGAAAATGGATTTTTTTTTTTTTTTTTTGGAGACAGTCTCACTCTGTTACCCAGGCTGGAGTGCAGTGGCACAGTCTGGCTCATTGCAGCTTTGACCGCCTCGGCTCAAGCGATCCTCCCACCTCAGCCTACCGTAGCTAGGACTACAGGCATGTGCCATGATGGCCAGCTTTTTTTTTTTTTTTTTGAGACAGAGTCTCACTCTATTGCCCAGGCTGGTGTGCAGTGTCGCAGTCTTGGCTCACAGCAGCCTCTGCCTCCCAGGTTCAAGTGAGTCTCCTGCCTTAGCCTCTCAAGTAGCTGGAGTTACAGGTGCATGCCACCACGCCCAGCTAATGTTTGTATTTTTAGTTGAGGCAGGATTTCACCATGTTGGCCTGGCTGGTCTCAAACTCCTGACCTCAGGTGATTCACCCACCTTGGCCTCCCAAAGTGCTGGGATTACAGACATGAGCCACTGTGCCCACCCTTTTTTTTTTTTTTTTTTTTTAATAAGTGGAGCTGAGGTCTTGGTGTATTGCCCAGATGGGTCGCAATCTCCTGTGCTCAATGGATCCTCCCACCTTAGCCTCCCAGAGTGCTGGGATTATAGGTATGACCCACTGTGCCTAGCCAGAAAATTGACTTTTGATTTAACTTTGCATATTAACTAAGCAACTAAAATGCTTAAAAGATTTTTTCTTTGCAGTAATCCTCCAACTAAGACCTTAAACCATATTTTTTTGGTGATTTAGTTTTGCAACAGCAGCAGTTCCTTTTTCTGGAGATTTAAAATGGAAATGAAATACAGCTTTAATTTGTTCAATATTCATAGATTCTCCTATCTGTAAAGCTGTTAATCCATGAGCCTTTGCAAACAGTGTTTAAGCAGCCTCTTATGGTAATATTTTTTCATAGATTCATTTTGGGGTCGTCTGAACACATTATATCAGTCATTTACATAATAGTAGAAATAACTAAGAAGTAGTTTGTGATTATGGGATTATGATTGTGAGAATGTAGAGGGTTAACTAAAGCCTTCTCTTTCTGGAATGTTTTGCTTGGCTTTGGAACATTACAAAATATAATTATTAGGTTTTTTTGACTGGCAATGGCACACACCTATAGCCCCAGCTACTCAGGAGGCGGAGGCAGAAGGATCACGTGGGCCTGGGAGTTCAAGGCTACAGTGTGCTATATCACGCCTATAAATAGCCACTGCACTCCAGCCTAGACAACGTAATGAGACCCTGTCTCTAAAAAAAGAAGTAGAAATTTTTTTTGTTTGAAAATTTTGAGGCCAGGTGTGATGGCTCATGCCTGTAATCCCAGCACTCTGGGAGGCCAAGGTGTATCACTTGAGGTCAGGAGTTCGAGACCAGCCTGGACAGCATAATGAAACCCCATCTTTACTAAAATACAAAAAATTAGCCGGGTGTGGTGGCACGTGCCTGTAATCCCAGCTACTTGGGAGGCTGAGGCAGGAGAATTGCTTGAACCCAGGAGGCAGAGGTTGCAGTGAGCCGAGATTGCGCCACTGCACTCCAGCCTAGGCAGCAGAATGAAGCTCCGTCTCAAAAAAAGAAAAAGAAAATTTTCAAATGTACACTAAAGTAGAAAGAATGGTCTAATGAACTTACATATTCCCATCCTCTATATGCAATAATTTTCAAGGTTTAGCCACACTTGTTTTATCTTTCCCATTTTTCTTCGATGAACCCATATCTGTGTCATTTTTCAATATGTATCCAGTTTACATTTGTAAGAAAAACTTACATAACCACAGTGCTGTAATCATACCTAACAAAATTAACAGTCATCTCTTGGCATTCCCAGGTCCATACCTAGTTCATATTCAGATTTCCCCATTTGTCTCAAAATTGTCTTTTTGTGGTTTGTTTGAGTCAAGATGCAAGCAATGAATTCATTCTAATTAATTCATTTGTTATCATTGCCTGTGTTATTTTATTGGGCTGCAAAATGGAACCCCACTTTTTGAATCTATCGTTCCTTTAACATTTATTACCTACAATTCTTATAATGGAAAATACCCGCTTGTTAATTAGGTCTGTTTGCTTGCCCAGAGGTGCAGCTCATAAAGCAAAGGCTGTGTAAATGGTTAAGTCTTTTTCCTTTATTGTGATTTTGGGAAGTAAGAACTTAGTGCTCTCCTGTGTTCGTGTGCTTAGGAAAAAAAATTTTTTTTTTTTTAAAGAAAGGGCCAGGTGCGGTGGCTCAAGCCTGTAATGCCAGCACTTTGGGAGGCCAAGGTGGGCGGATCATGAGGTCAGGAGTTCTAGACCAATGGTGAAACCTCATCTCTACTAAAATATAAAAATTAGCCTGGTGTGGCAGTAAACGCCTGTAGTCCCAGCTACTCAGGAGGCTGAGGCAGGAGAATTGCTTGAACCCGGGAGACAGAGGTTGCAGTGAGCCGAGATTGCACCATTGCACTCCAGCCAGGACAACAGAGTGAGACTACGTCTCAAAAAAAAAGGGGGTTAGTGCTCAGTAACTTCCAACTAGATTGATTGGGGTTTTTTGTTTGTTTTGACTTTCTGTTTTTTCAGTGTCATTATAAACACATGGGTTTTTATTTAGTTGGTTTATTTTAATCAACTTCTGCTGTTAATCTTTTTGATACTTGAAACCATGACATCCTTGGCCAGTGGGAGCCTTCACACTGGCGCCTTTGTTGAAATTCACTGCTTTGGTTCAATCTAATAAAGCTTCTCGAATGAGTCTTTTTTTTTTTTTCTTTTTTTGAGATGGAGTCTCGCTCTATCACCCAGGCTGGGGTGCAATGGCGCGATCTTGGCTCACTGCAACCTCCACCTCCTGGGTTCAAGCGATTCTCCTGCCTCAGCCTCCCAAGTTACTGGGATTATAGGCATGTGTTACCACACCTGGCTAATTTTTGTATTTTTAGTAGAGATGGGGTTTCACCATGTTGGCCAGACTGGGAATGAGTCCTAAATGATATATATCACTTGACAGAACATACTGGAAATCTACTTTCTTAAGCCAGTGCCCAGTATTCCAGGAAGCCATTTTTAATGTTTCAAAACAGAGAAGCTTTTGGATAAATGCCTAAGTCCTCTTCCTGTTTTGTTTTGTTTTGTGTTCCACAGGCCAGGGTCAAGCCCCACCGGACCTTCAGATTTAATGAGTGTGTCTGTACACCCTATAATGCTGACTTTGATGGTGATGAAATGAACCTTCATCTTCCTCAAACAGAAGAAGCTAAAGCAGAGGCCCTTGTTCTGATGGGGGTATGTAGGGTGGCACAGCCCAGCTTTTGCATAACAGCTCCTTGAAAGGAGGCAAAGGAAACTTACATGAAAACACCACCACAACTAACAACGCCAAAGAAGCCAGGCTCTTTCTGTTCTTAAACCGACCACTAACTGCCTATATATCTCTCTTTTTATTGGTTTCTTTTGAGCCTTTGAAGAATCTCTTAGAAATTATAGTATATACATGAGAGTTAGGGTCTGTAACAGATGCGTTGAGGGGATTTTCTGGCCTATAAATGTGGGTTCTGGGAGAAAATGTATACATGAGGGCCAGTTATGACAAGGTAAGAAAAGAATATAGCAATATCAATGTTGGCTGTCACAGGGGAAGAAGATGTCCTACCTAAGTAAATTTTCCAGTAGCTGAAGATTCTTTAAGCACCAGCACATTTTATTGAACATTCTGAATGGAAACCTTCCTAAACTATATTACATACTTCGTCTTCTTAGAGGATGCAGTATTATACATAATGATAATAACTCTTACCACCACTTTATTTGACAAATGCATAAGGAGTGCCCAGTAGATGCTGCAGGAGATCGGTGATAGTGAGGCACGTGCCTGCTCTTAAGGAGCTTACAGTTGAGCTTTAACTGTTGGCACAGGCTGGCGCTGTGGCTCAGGCCTGTAATCCCAGCACTATGGGAAGCCTAGGCAGGTGGTTCACTTGAGTTCAGGAGTTCAAGACCAGCCCGGACAACATGGCGAAACTCCATCTCTACGAAAACTACAAAAATTAGCCAGGTGTGGTGGCGCACGCCTGTAGTCCCAGCTACTCAGGAAGCTGAAATGGGAGGATTGCTTGGTCCCAGGAGGTTGAGGCTGCAGTGAGCTGTGATTGCACCACTGCAGTTCAGCCTGGGCAACAGAGCAAGACCCTGTCTCAAAAGAAGAAAAAAAAAAAACCTGTTGGCACTACATGTACTATTCACTCCTGACCCAGCAATAGCACAGTGGGACATGGCACCGGCTGTGTAGGATTCTCTCCTCCTGAACTTCATGATCCCCAACTACTGAGTATTTTAGAGCTTCAGGCTTTCTTTTTTCAGTATTCCAGCTTCCTATATTAGGAACTGGTAAGTCTTATAGTTGTAAGTGTCCCTACCTCCAAAATCACTTATTACCATTTCTGATGTGATGCTTTTAACCTGTTTTGGTTTAGGCTTTTAGTATTGCATGCATCATTTTGGGGTTTTAAGTTGTCTATACGTTTAGATTTTTTTTCTTTTTCTTTTTCTTTTTTTTTTTGTTTGTTTGTTTGAGACGGAGTTTTACTCTTGTTGCCCAGGCTGGAGTGCAATGATGTGATCTCAGCCCACTGCAACCTCTACCTCCCAGGTTCAAGTGATTCTCCTGCCTCAGCCTCCTGAGTAGCTGGGATTACAGGCGTCTGCCACCATGCCCAGCTAATTTTGTACTCTTAGTAGAGACAGGGTTTCACCACATTCGTCAGGCTGGTCTTGAACTCCCGACCTCAGGTGATCCGCCCGATTCGGCCTCCCCAGATGCTGGGATTACAGGTGTGAGCCATTGCACCTGGCCTTAGATTTATTTTCTATAATGAGCATATATTATTTTTGTAACAAAAAGTAATGTTTAGAATGCTGCTTGAAATAATAGCTATCAGCTTGCAACCAACCATTTAGACTTTGCTGTCAACTCTGCCATTGAGGATCCATACTGTGGACATTGTGTTACAACTGCATATTTCATTGGTTACAAATGGCAATAATAAAACAAAGTCTCCAAGGATTTTGGGGTAGAAGAATCCTTAGTTACCATGTGGACAAGTTTCCTCAATTTCAAGTAAGAAAATACCTATCGTTCTGATTTAGCAATGCTGTTCTCCGTGTAGTGCATAGGGCTCTAATTTGGATGTGGGCCCAAATTACCCAGGAGACCTTTTCAAAATACACTAATCTCAGCCCCTTGCACTCTGCTTCTATCCGTAGACTACCTGTATCCCACCTCAGAGAGAGTCTCTAAACCAGGAGTAAGAGCAGTCAGGTGGTGTGCAATGAAGAGGCACATCTGGCTAAATAGCTGTCTCCCACTCTGGTTGAAGGGTCCCTGCTTTGGATAGTGGCTCAGAAGTAAGTGGTAATGGGCCTTTGTCTGAGAGGACCCTGCTTTCTGGGTGAAAAGGCCCAGAAAACCCACAAATACACATGTGCATTTTCATATCAAGATTAGAGCAAATGTACTCTCATACACACAGAGCCTTCTTTACATGACTTAATTATGTTTTACTACCTAACACCCTTTTTTGCCCAACGTAGGCCCTCATTAAATGTTTAATTAAATTCTGTTGTTGGATTGATTATTATTAGAACGTAATGTCTTAACCAAGGGACATTTAACAGTTCTGTCATCATTGTGGACAAGTGTGGAATTGGTTGACTTCAGAGGTCACAACGCTCCTCATCATTCACAGAAATGAATTTTCTTTGGAGAAGCACCTATAGTAATAACAATAGGGCTGGGTGCAGTAGCTCATGCCTGTAATACCAGCACTTTGGGAGGCCAAGGTGGGAGGATCAGTTGAGCCCAGGAGTTCGAGACCAGTCTGGGCAACAAAGTAAGACCCCGTCTCCACAAAAAAAATGCAAAAACTTAGCTGGGCATGATGATGTGGGCCTGTAGTCCCAGCTGCTTGGGAGGCTGAGCTGGGAGGATCACTTGAGCCCCATGAGGTTGAGGCTGCAGTGAGCCATATTTGCACCACTGCACTCTAACCTGGGCTATAAGCAAGACTCTGTCTCAAAAACAAACAACAATAAAATCTTCTTACATGGGTAGAGTTTTTCATAGAATTCTGAAACAACTTCACTTGATATTTCATTTTGGTGTTGGTAGGACCCTCCTAGGTCAATCTTGCTGGTATTTTTTTCTCTCCCCTTGACAGATAAAGGAACTGGGAGTTAGTGACAAAGCTGGGATTCAGACCCCTGGCTTTCATTTCTCAGCCTCGTCCTTCTGCTACTCTGTATTTGTTCATAACTATTCAAAAACCTTGTGATTCAGGCTTTGGGCTGCATCATGCATCCGAGAACAGCTAACTGACTGCGCTTACTTTTCCTACAGACTAAAGCAAATCTTGTAACCCCGAGGAATGGGGAACCGCTGATTGCTGCTATTCAGGATTTTCTAACAGGTAGGTTGGTGAAGTTCACTTGAAAGGAGATTTCTGACTGGAACACAGTGTTCCTCGTTCATAGTGATTCATGTGATGACTTGAAAAGCTATTTAATAGCCTGTGTTTAATTTGGTTTTTTGTTTACTAAGTTTGATCATGAACCTCCCCGTGGGTTTTTTTTTTTCTTTTTTTTTTTAATTGGTTGGTTATTCATTAATTCAGCAAGTCTTTAATGAGCTCCTCTCATGGACTGGGCATTTTCTAAACCTAGTGTCTGGCTTAGAATCTGTCCCTTTTGCCTGGGGATACAGCAGTGAACAAAACAAAGTCACGTTCCTGTGGAGGTAGATCCTAGTTGGAGGAGAAAGCCAGTAAGCAGCTGTTTGTTTCAATTCACGCTGTTGGTCATGGTTCAAATTTATTTTAAAATTGAAACCTTGCAGTATTCTCACAATTTCATTCCTTTTCTTTGTTTTGTGTTGGTTCCTAATGCTTAGGTGCCTATCTCCTCACTCTCAAGGACACTTTCTTTGATCGAGCCAAGGCTTGCCAAATCATTGCTTCAATACTGGTTGGCAAGGATGAGAAAATTAAAGTTCGCCTCCCACCGCCTACAATCCTAAAGGTGTGTGTGGGAGTTGTGTGTTGGTGCACAGGTGTGTGTATGTGTCTGTGGGGGTAGACTGGTGAAATGAGTGGAACCGTGTTGGTGCTAGGCTTGAGTGCAGTCCCTAGGCCGCCTGGCTTCGTCTACTGAAGGGGGATTGAGACCAGGCTCAGCCCACTGACTCTCAGGCTTCCTCCCCCCCTCAGCCTGTCACCCTGTGGACGGGAAAGCAGATCTTCAGTGTCATCCTCAGGCCTAGCGATGACAATCCAGTGAGGGCCAACCTGCGAACCAAGGGCAAGCAGTACTGTGGCAAAGGGGAAGATCTCTGTGCCAATGATTCCTGTGAGTGGACGGAACTCGGGTGGGGAGAAGGAGGAACGTGACAGAAAAGCAAGTGGCTGGTCATCAGCTTTGCTGGTACCTTCGCGAAGCAAGCAAATTCATTGTTTCTGTAAGCCTTAGGTGGAAAGTTTTTTCTTCAGGAAAATGTAGCTGGTTTTTCTTCTCTCAGATGTAATTCCCCATTTCTCTTAAAAGTAGAGATCATGTAGACACATGACGCAGTGGTTAGAATGTTCTCTCCAAATGTGTTTTGTCTTAAGTGACTAGTTTTTCTCACTTAGTAGTTTGTCTGTATTTTGTCATCTTTTTGGCGGCGGGGGGGGCAATAAACAAGGATTTTACTATTTAAGGCATTTAATTTTTTTTTTTTTTTTTTTTTTTTTTGAGACTAAGTCTTGCTCTGTCACCCAGGCTGGAGTGCAGTGGTGCAGTCTCAGCTGACTGCAACTTCCACCTACTGGGTTCAAGCGATTCTCCTGCCTCAGCCTCCTGAGTAGCTTGGATTACAGGCGCCCACCACCATGCCTGGCTTATTTTTGTATTTTTAGTAGAGACGGGGTTTCACCGTGTTGGCCAAGCTGGTCTTGAACTCCTGACCTCAAGTGATCTGCCTTGCCCTCCCAAAGTGCTGGGATTATAGGCATGAGCCACTGCACCCAGCCTGGATTGATTTTTTTTTTTTTTTTTCAAAGACAAACAGGTTCTCCCTACGTTGCCCAGGCTGGTCTCGAACTCCTAGGCTCAAGCAATCGTCCCACCTCATCCTCCCAAAGTGCTGGGATTACAGGTGTGAGCCACCTCACCCAGCCAGGGAAAGGATTTACATGCAAGTCATCTGAGTCTGTCTAAACCAGTTCAACCCGAAGTGCAGTCCACAGAGCCCTGCTGTTTAGCCAGCATCCATTGAGTTACTTTCTGATGTGAGCACGTTCACTCACCCAGACCACTACCAAACAGTTCCCTAGCAGCCTAGTTTGAGTAGCACTGATTTAGAATGGGCTTTGCTAGTGAGACCTTGGGACTAGAAGTGGATCTCCAGGACTCTGTACTGAAGAACTGAATTGCAGAGTTCTTCTGAAGGTCAGGATTTCTGCTGTCTTCTAATGAAGAGCAAATGTTTTGAAGGGCACTGATACTCCTCAGATTTATTTCTTTGGAAATATGCTCTCTGATCTTCAAAATACTTCAGCTTCTTGTTTTAGACTGTTTTGTTTCTTTTTGGATATGAATTTCATTTGGTTGTTGTATAGGCTGTACATGATGGTACCTTTGTTAATATTTAATATCTTATATGAGTAACAAATTATTTATAGTTTATAGAGCACTTCACTGTATGTTATTTCATCTGATGCTCAAAATATCCCATAACAT
This sequence comes from Homo sapiens, assembly GCF_000001405.40. Lineage (NCBI taxonomy): Eukaryota > Metazoa > Chordata > Mammalia > Primates > Hominidae > Homo > Homo sapiens. Next base: position 78,008,165 of record NC_000010.11, on the reverse strand, counting down.
AAAGATGACAAGTGCTTGATACTGTTACCCACAGTTCACAGATGAGGAGAGTGAGGGTCAACTGGTATATTTCAGGGTTAGGACTACACACTAACTGGAGTTTCTATATTTTTCAAAAATTCCCAAGTTTTCCTTTAACCCCCCCTCCCTCCCCCCAAAAAAAAGCTTTGAGGAGAATTTCTGTTTGTTCTGCTTTAAGTGTCAGTATGGGAACATATTTTCTCAACTGTCTCAAATTCATTTTGGAATAAGGCAAAGTAATAAATAATTGTTGTCTAAATATATAATCATTCTTCCAGATGTTACAATCCAGAACAGTGAGTTGATGAGTGGCAGCATGGACAAAGGAACCCTAGGGTCAGGATCCAAGAACAATATTTTTTACATTTTGCTGCGAGACTGGGGACAGAATGAAGCTGCAGATGCCATGTCACGGCTCGCCAGGCTGGCTCCTGTCTACCTGTGTAAGTATCTCAGCATCCTTCTTTTAGTTAAAGCTGCAATTGTTAGAGTCTTAAGGGTTTACGTTATTTTGTTCTTTTACTGCCATTTCATCCCCACCACACATATACATACAGAAAAAGATACTCATTCCAGGCTAAATCATGTGTGCTGTTATTAATTAAATTAACTCAGTACTGAATAGTTTCACAACAGATTTGAATTTGCTTTTCAGTTCTCTTCTCAAAACCAGCAGTAGCTCCCTACGGTCTTCTAGACAGGGTTAGATTATAAACCATCCTTGATGGGCTGCTTCCAAGGTCCCTGTGGAAGCACTAGAACACTTGGGGCTATCCATGATTCAGTTCTCCAAGATTACTCAATATTTGCCTACTATGCTTTCACTGTTCTATTTTGTTTGTTTGTTTGTTTGCTCATGCTTTGAGTGGGCCATGAGTCAAGTGATGTTTGCATGCCCCCAAAACTTTATTCCACTCTTATACTTGCCTGGGTATACAATTTTAGATTGAAAATTATTTTCCCTCAGAATTTTGAAGGTACTGCTCTACTTTCTTCTTGCTTTCAGAGTTGTTGTTAACAGGTATTGTCGTTCTTATTCCCCAGTTTTTGTATTTGATTTTTTTTTGTTTTTTGAAGATAGGGTCTTGCTCTGTCACCCAGGCTGTAGTGCAGTGGTGTGATCTTGGCTCACGCAGCCTCTCGAGCAGCTGGGACTACAGGCATGTGCCACCATGCCCAACTAAGTTTTGTAGAAATGAAGTCTCACCATGTTGCCCAGGTTGGTCTTGAACTCCTGGTCTCAAGTGATCCACCTGCCTCCACCTCCCAAAGTGCTAGGATTACAGGCATTAGCTACCATGCCTGGCCCTTGAATTGTTTTTTTCATTTTAGAAACTTTCAGAATCCTCTCTGTTCTCACTGTGAAAGTTCACAACAATATACCTTTGGTGTGGGTCTTTTTTCATTCACTGTGCTAAGCACTGAGTAATTTCATTTAATCTGCAGCTGTGTGTCCTTCCATTCGGGAAATTTTATGTTATTTCTTTAATAATTTTCTCTCTTTTACTTTCTCTGTTCTTTCTTTTTGGAACTTCAGTTAATTACATATTAGAACTCCTAGATTAATTATCTAATTATCTTCTTTTCCATTTGCCATTTCTTTATTCTAGATTCACTTTATCTTTTAATACTTCTGTTGATTTTTAAAATTTTATCACTGTCATGTATTTAATTTCCAATACTATTTTTCAATATACTTATTCACAGGTAGTGTTTTTGTTTCTTTTTTTTTTTTTTTTTTTTTTTTTTGAGACAGAGTCTTGCTCAGTCGCCAGGCTGGAGTGCAGTGATGCAATCTCAGCTCGCTGCAACCTCCGCCTCCCAGGCTCAAGTGATTCTCCTGCCACAGCCTCCCGAGTAACTGGGACTACAGGTGCCTGCCACCATGCCCGGCTAATTTTTGTGTTTTTAGTAGAGACGGGGTTTCACCATGTTGGCCAGGGTGGTCTCGAACTCCTGACCTCAAGTGATCTGCCCACCTCGGCCTCCCAAAGTGCTGGGATTACAGGCGTGAGCCACTATGCCCAGGCTGTTTTGTTTTTAAAGCTTTCTTGTTTTGATCCCTGAATGTATCTTCTCTGATCACTCTGAGAGAATATTATTCATAGTTTTATTATATTTGCTTCCTGAATTTTCTGTATCCTTTTACTTTCTTTTTCCTGTGCATTTGTGTCTTTTGTCTTTCATGTTAAAATCTTTCCTCAAATATCTGGTGGTCCTTGAGGAGTAAGGACTGAAACACTGATTGGAAATGGAGCTGACTGGTTGATGGACCTCTCAGTTTTTTTATATAAAAGGAATATACAGACTTTCCCTCAGTGCTCTTGTTTACAGTTATTTCATCTGCCTGGTATTCCCAGACCCAGAGCCTCTCTGATTCCATTTCGCTGGGAGCGAACTCCCATCTCCTACAGGAATAAGGGCCTGGAGCCTTCCTTATACAGACTTTCCACTAGGTTTCCTTGTTTCCAGCACATTCATCATTTCCAGCAGTTGCAGAACCTAATGATCTCATTTCTGAGCCTTTCCAGGCCCATTAGTCCTCTCATCTACAGATACTTGTAGGTCATACCTTCCTATCCTGCTAAGCCAGAAGCCACTCATTCACTCTCTTTATTTCTACATACAGTATATTGTGGCTAGGATCAATGGTGGCACCTAGTTCCATCAAAGTTGGAGAATACTTTTTTGTGTGTGTGACACAGGGTCTTGCTCTGTTGCCCAGGCTGGAGCGCAGTGATGTGATTATGGCTCATTGCAACCTCCACCTCCCAAGTAGCTGGGACTACTGGCATGTGCCACCATGCCCGGCTAATTTTTTAAGGTTTTTGTAGAGATGAGGCTGATCACAAACATCTGGGATCAAGCGAGCCTCCTGCCTCAGCCTTCCAAAGTGCTGGGATTATAGGCGTGAGCCACTGCACCCAGCCCTCAGGCCACCCTTTAGTGTTTAATGTCACTCTGCTTTAGATAATAGTTGGAAACGGTATTGTGTTTCCCCACCAGATCGTAAGGTCTCTGAGAGAAGTCAGTTGAGTCCTAGTCATTTTGTGTAACTCCCTAATGACTGAGAAAGAAAGCCATTATTTAATTGAATTGTGATGAATTCTGTGAAGATATACACTTTTTTATACTTTAAACTATACATACATAGTTTATATATAGTACAAACTATATCTAGCAGGCATAAACTGTATTTAGTAGGTTTGCTGAGTCTCATTTATGGCCCTTTCTTCCTGCTCTACCAACTCAACAGCTAACCGTGGTTTCTCAATTGGGATCGGTGATGTCACACCTGGCCAAGGACTGCTGAAGGCCAAGTATGAGTTGCTGAATGCCGGCTACAAGAAATGTGATGAGTACATCGAAGCCCTGAACACGGGCAAGCTGCAGCAGCAGCCTGGCTGCACTGCTGAGGAGACCCTGGAGGTGAGCCCGGCCCTTTGGTTCAGGGTCGCCACTTGCCGTGCACAGTGGCTACGGTGGTGCTCTCTGGGGTTGTGCTGAGCCATGAATAGAGGTAGCAAAGGAGTGGGCAAGTCAAGGCATTGGCGTCTGTCCTGTTGGGGCCCAGGGCTCACTGTGTATGTCCTCGTCTGTCCTGTTGGGGCCCTGGGCTCACTGTGTGTGTCCTTGTTTGTTTCCTGAGGGTAGGGCCTTTCATCAGATCCTCATGTCCCTCCTAACTTTCACATCCAGGTGGTGAAAACATAGCCATCTGTTCATTCGGCCACACGAGGCTGCTCTTGTTCTGGTGGCACACTCAGGTCCCTTCTGTAACTGGTACTCGAGTGCTCCTGCCTTTTCTATTTTCAGCATCCTTCAAGTAGAAACTGACACCACAGCTCTTTGGTTTTTGGGGGTTTGGTTTTTTTTGTTTTTGTTTTTGTTTGAGACGGAGTCTCGCTTTTCATAGTTTTATGAAGCACTCCAGCCAGGCTGGAGTGCAGTGGTACGATCTTGGCTCACTGCAACGTCTGACTCCCTGGTTCAAGCAATTCTCCTGCCTCACCCTCCCAAGTAGCTGGGATTACAGGCACATGCCACCATGACCAGCTAATTTTTGTATTTTTAGTAGAGACAGGGTTTCACCATGTTGGCCAGCACGGTCTCGATCTCCTGACCTCGTGATCTGCCCACCTTGGCCTCCCAAAGTACTGGGATTACAGGTGTAAGCCACTACGCCCAGCCAGTTTTTTTGTTGTTGTTTTGTTTTAAGATGGAGTCTCACTTTGTCGCCCAGGCTGGAGTGCAGTGGTGCAATCTCATCTCACTGCAACCTCTACCTCCTGGGTGCAAGCAATTATCCCTGCCTCAACATCCTAAGTAGCTGGGATTACAGGCGCCCACCACCATGCCCAGCTAATTTTTTTTTTGCATTTTTAGTAGAGGCGGGGTTTTGCCATGTTGGCCAGCCTGGTCTCGAACTCCTGACCTCAGGTGATCCACCCACCTCGGCTTCCCAAAGTGCTGGAATTACAGGCATGAGCCACCGTGCCCAGCCTCACCACAGCTCTTTGAATGTATGGTCTTTGAAAGAGACTTGGATGCGGAAGAGGGAGAATTCATGTCTAATAGTCACATCCCCAGCCTGCTGCCCCTCATTTGAAACTATTTTAGCTAAGATCTCAACCAGCATGGGTCAGAATCAGAATCACCACCAGCCTGTGAGAACCTGAAACTCCCTCAGCAGTCTGAGTGCACCAGGCTTTCACCTGGCCGTCTTCTGCCTCACCGATAAACCCGTGGCACTGAGCTTTGACTCACCTGAGTGTGGAAGAAAGGCTCTTTAAGCATTGGGAAGTTTTCTAATGAAATACATTTTCTAAAGCAGGGAGAAACCAGAATTTTGTGAGGTATTTACCATTAGCTCATTCTTAATCTTACTGAGTCTTAGAGAGAGAGAAAAGGATATCCCTCACCGGTACCTCCTAGAAAATTACTTGAGACCTCGGCAGCAGCAATTTTTCATGGAACCAGACTTGTAACTGATTCAGCATCCTAGTTTGTAAGTTGAGGAGTAACTGTGGATGAGCTCATGAGCCGGAATATTCTTGTGAAGTCACCTCATCACATGCCTAGCTTGCAGACATTCAGATGTGTGCTTGGCAAGAAAAAGTAGAAAGACAAATTTACAAATAGTACAGGCAATTCTCTTTTACATACCACATATTATCTTATATATTTGTATGGGGTGCATGTGTGTGTCCACACAGCTATTTATATACAGATATTTTGTTGTGTAGGGTAGTATACACAAAGCCATACATTCTACCTTATGGGCCATTTAAAGGATTCTTCAAGTTTTTATTACTGTCAATTTTAGGCCAGGCTTGGTGGCTTATGCCTATAATCAAGGCAGGAAGATCCCTTGAGGCCAGGAGTTCAAGTCCAACCTGGGCAGTATAGCAAGACCCCATCTCTACAAAAAAAATTTTAAAAATTAGCCAGGCCTGGTAGGGACATATACCTGTAGTCCTAGCTACTCAGGGGTCTGGGGCAGGAGGATCACTTGAGCCCGGGAGTTTGAGGCTGCAGTGAGCTGTGATTATGCCATTGTACACCAACCTCAGCAACAGAGTGAGATCCTGTCTCCAACAAAAACAAAAAAAAGATAAACTGTTTGCCTTATACACCAATTTTAGAACCTTGTAGAAGATGTACATGTTCATATAGCCAGGGCATTTTGCTCCTCTAAGGTTCTGAAACATTTACTGATCGGAAATCGGGCATCTTGCCTCAGTATTTTCAAATTTCTTTAAATGTTAGATTGAACATTTGTAATCCACAGAGACAATGAGGACAACCCACCAAGGATCTCCTTTTCTCCCACTAGGCACTGATCCTGAAGGAGCTGTCTGTGATCCGTGACCACGCTGGCAGTGCCTGCCTCCGGGAGCTGGACAAGAGCAACAGCCCCCTCACCATGGCTCTGTGCGGCTCCAAAGGTCTGCATGCCCCTCTCTCACCTGCTGGCAGTGTGTTCTCCGTACAGGCTGTTTGGCTCCAGAAAATGTGATAGTCACAGCTCCAAACAGACATTTCATTTATTTAAGGGATCTTTTTAAATCAGAGAGAGAGACTTAATTATTTGCATTTTGGGAAGTTTAACTGCTTTGAAGGAACTTGTTGGTAATGTGTCTGGATTCTGAGTTTGAGGGTGCTTTGAGCAACGTGGTCTTTAAAAAAAAATGAGGCCAGATGCAGTGGCTCATGCCTGTAATCCCAGCACTTTGGGAGGCTGAGGCCGAGGCCGATTGATTGCTTGAGCCCAGGAGTTTGAGATCAGCCTGGGCAATATGCCAAAACCCCATCTCTACAAAAAATACAAAAAAAAAAAAATTAGCTGGGCGTGGTGGCTTGTGCCTGTCGTCCCAGCTAATCAGGAGGCTGAGGTGGGAGGATCACTTGAGCCCAGCAGGTCAGGCAGGTTGAAGCAGAAGAAAGCCAGGGATTTTTTAATGTACTTAATGATGTGGCATAATTCTTCTATTTTGTAGATACCGAGGCCCTCAAAGCATTTGGTTTTATGATAATGCATTCAAATTCAAAACCTCTGTGCTTCTATTTCTGTACACTTTTTTTTTAAACAGGATAAAGTCCAGTCTCTTTAACTTTGCTGCCTTTTACCCCATTGCTCTCCTGCTTCCTACCCTCAGGACATAGCCCACACTTTTCCATTTCTCTGTCTTTGCTTCCTACTTTCCCACCCACTTTGGAATTCCTCCCCCTCTCCCTTTATGTCCAAATCATAATGTCCTCCAGGAGTCCAACCTGGACTTGCTGAAGCCTCCTTGAAGACTCACCTGTCACTTCCCCAGCCTTTCCTCCAACCCACACATGCTCCTGGCTCCTCTCGCCGTCGTTCCGCCTTTCTTGGGTTCCTGACAGCTCCTTGTTGTCTTGATTGTATTTCTGTCTTCTACTGTTCCAGGACCATGACCTCATTGAGCATAAGGGCCTATTCCTGTTTTACCCTTCCAATCTGCATGCACTTCAATTAGTGTTATTTTGGTAAATGAATGTTACATTTCTGGTCCATGTCCCCAGGTTCCTTCATTAACATATCACAGATGATTGCCTGTGTGGGACAGCAGGCCATCAGTGGCTCTCGAGTGCCAGACGGCTTTGAAAACAGGTCCTTGCCTCATTTTGAAAAACACTCAAAGGTAAGCAGTAGCAGATCAGGTAGAACTGTGAAGATCTCTTAATCTACACTTTCCTCCAAGGAACACAGACCTATTCAGATCAAAGACCGTTGGCCAATTTCATGTGGAGTTTTATATATGTATTTTTTGCCATTTTATTAAGATACACTTCAGGCCGGGCACAGTGTCTCATGCCTGAAATTCTAGCACTTTGGGAGGCCAAGGCAAGAGGATTGCTTGAGGCCAGGAGTTCGTCTGGCCAACATAGCGAGACCCCATCTCTACAAATAAATAAACTTTAAATACATATATACTTCATATGTAATTATTACAATTATACTTCATATATAATTTACCCATGTAAGGCACACAGTTCAGTGACTGTTAATCACAGAGCTGTGCAGCCATCACTACAACCTACTTTTAGAACATTTTCAGTGCCCAGAATGAAACCCTGTAGACATTGACAATGCATGGTTATGTTTTGTAGGTGGGCAGGTCTGGCCCACAGGAAGGATATCTTGAAGGTGTCATTTCCCAGGGAATGGGCAGGCAGCCTCCATCCACAGGGTGTCCTCTGAGGTCCTTGACTGCTTGCCTATTTTAAGGAGAGCATCCAGATCTTAGGTTTCCCTCTCTTGGGCCACTTGCCTGCCACTGGCACCAGCACCAGCCCTGGCTGGGCCCTCATTCTCCTTGTCCCTGGTATAAAGTATTTCTCCATAAGGAAAGGGCAAAGAAAGCCTGCCATTTAGTGAGAATATACTGGCCAGGTATTTATAGTCTCAAGGTGGGGCATTTTCTGATTTGAGTGGATTTCAGAATCGTGGGCCTTGAACTTTTTTTGTTTGATTTTTCTTTTTTCTACCTCTCTTTAGCTCCCAGCTGCCAAAGGCTTTGTGGCTAATAGCTTTTATTCCGGTTTGACACCAACTGAGTTTTTCTTCCACACAATGGCCGGCCGGGAAGGTCTAGTCGACACGGCTGTAAAGACAGCTGAAACGGGATACATGCAGGTAACCTGAAGAAATGTAGGCCATTAGCAACAGAGCAGGACAGAGCTCTGTGGGTTTTGACTATTGAGTACACGTTTTGCACATGAGCTGTAATTTATCTAGTCTTGGGTTAAATTTAAAAGGAAAAAATGTAGAAAGGTAGATGCCCTGGAAATGAACAACCAAAAAAAATGTAGTATGTTCCGAATCATCCTATGATGATCAAGACCAGGCCAGAGCCACGCATAGCAAAGCGCTGTTAGAGGAGAACATGGATGGAAGTACATTGTGGGATATGTCATTCAACCTCACTAAGCCTCGCTTTACTAACACGTGACAATGAGGGTTATTGCAAGGCCTCTGCCTCTCTCTTTGCAACTATTTATGTAACTCATTATTAATATCATTCTAATTAACTCTAATGACCTATTCCAGTGCTTGCTGCGGGGCTTGGATGCTTAGAAGGAAAGCATTTCCTCAGAGAGTGTATAGCTCTGAGATAATAGACTCTGGGGCACAGGGCTAAACTAGAGGCTTCTCAGCATTTGTGCTTCTCAAACTTTACCACAAAAGTACCCTAATGGCAGAGGAGTGAAAAATACGTCTTCTTGTGTTCTTCCATAAGACCACAGGCAAAAGATGTCTTTTCAATCCCTGTACTCTCCACTCAATAATTTAACTGTATTTTTTTAATTTTATTATTATTATACTTTTAAGTTTAGGGTACATGTGCACAACGTGCAGGTTTGTTACATATGTATACATGTGCCATGTTGGTGTGCTGTACCCATTAACTCATTTAGCATTAGGTATATCTCCTAATGCTATCCCTCCCCGCTCCCCCTACCCCACAACAGTCCCCGGTGTGTGATGTTCCCCTTCCTGTGTCCATGTGTTCTCATTGTTCAATTTCCACCTATGAGTGAGAACATGCGGCATTTGGTTTTTTGTCTTTGGGATAGTTTGCTGAGAATGATGGTTTCCAGTTTCATCCATGTCCCTACAAAGGACGTGAACTCATCATTTTTTATGGCTGCATAGTATTCCATGGTGTGTATGTGCCACATTTTCTTAATCCAGTCTATCATTGTTGGACACTTAGGTTGGTTCCAAGTCTTTGCTATTGTGAATAGTGCCGCTATAAACATACATGTGCATGTGTCTTTATAGCAGCATGATTTATAATCCTTTGGGTATATACCCAGTAATGGGATTGCTGCATCAAATGGTATTTCTAGTTCTAGATCCCTGAGGAATCGCCACACTGACTTCCACAATGGTTGAACTAGTTTACAGTCCCACCAACAGTGTAAAAGTGTTCCTATTTCTCCACATCCTCTCCAGCTCCTGTTGTTTCCTGACTTTTTAATGATCGCCATTCTAACTGGTGTGAGACGGTATCTCATTGTAGTTTTGATTTCCGTTTCTCTGATGGCCAGTGATGATGAGCATTGTTTCATGTGTCCTTTGGCTGCATAAATGTCTTCTTTTGAGAAGTGTCTGTTCATATCCTTCACCCACTTTTTGATGGGGTTTGTTTTTTTCTTGTAAATTTGTTTGAGTTCATTGTAGATTCTGGATGTTAGCCCTTTGTCAGATGAGTAGGTTGCAAAAATTTTCTCCCATTCTGTAGGTTGCCTGTTCACTCTGATGGTAGTTTCTTTTGCTGTGCAGAAGCTCTTTAGTTTAATTAGATCCCATTTGTCAATTTTGGCTTTTGTTGCCATTGCTTTTGGTGTTTTAGACATGAAGTCCTTGCCCATGCCTATGTCCTGAATGCTATTGCCTAGGTTTTCTTCTATGGTTTTTATGGTTTTAGGTCTAACATTTAAGTCTTTAATCCATCTTGAATTAATTTTTGTATAAGGTATAAGGAAGGGATCCAGTTTCAGCTTTCTACATATGACTACCCAGTTTTCCCAGCACCATTTATTAAATAGGGAATCCTTTCCCCATTGCTTGTTTTTCTCAGGTTTGTCAAAGATCAGATAGTTGTAGATATGCGGCATTATTTCTGAGGGCTCTGTTCTGTTCCACTGGTCTATATCTCTGTTTTGGTACCAGTCTATATCTCTGTTTTGGTTACTGTAGCCTTGTGTAGTTTGAAGTCAGGTAGCGTGATGCCTCCAGGTTTGTTCTTTTGGCTTAGGATTGACTTGGCGATGTGGGCTCTTTTTTGGTTCCATATGAACTTTAAAGTAGTTTTTTCCAATTTGTGAAGAAAGACATTGGTAGCTTGATGGGGATGGCATTGAGTCTATAAATTACCTTGGGCAGTATGGCCATTTTCACGATATTGATTCTTCCTACCCATGAGCATGGAATGTTCTCCATTTGTTTGTATCCTCTTTTATTTCATTGAGCAGTGGTTTTTAGTTCTCCTTGAAGAGGTCCTTCACATCCCTTGTAAGTTGGATTCCTAGGTATTTTATTCTCTTTGAAGCAATTGTGAATGGGAGTTCACTCATGATTTGGCTCTCTGTCTGTTATTGGTGTATAAGAATGCTTGTGATTTTTGCACATTGATTTTGTATCCTGAGACTTTGCTGAAGTTGCTTATCAGCTTGAGGAGATTTTGGGCTGAAACGATTGGGTTTTCTAGCTATACAATCATGTCATCTGCAAACAGGGACAATTTGACTTCCTCTTTTCCTAATTGAATGCCCTTTATTTCCTTCTGCTTGATTGCCCTGGCCAGAACTTCCAACACTATGTTGAATAGGAGTGGTAAGAGAGGGCATCCCTGTCTTGTGCCCGTTTTCAAAGGGAATGCTTCCAGTTTTTGCCCATTCAATATGATATTGGCTGTGGGTTTGTCATAGATAGCTCTTATTATTTTGAGATACATCCCATCAATACCTAATTTATTGAGAGTTTTTAGCATGAAGGGTTGTTGAATTTTGTCAAAGGCCTTTCTGCATCTATTGAGATAATCATGTGTTTTTTGTCTTTGGTTCTGTTTATATGCTGGATTACATTTATTGATCTGTGTATGTGGAACCAGCCTTGCATCCCAGGGATGAAGCCGACTTGATCATGGTGGATAAGCTTTTTGATGTGCTGCTGGATTCGGTTTGCCAGTATTTTATTGAGGATTTTTGCATCGATGTTCATCAAGGATATTGGTCTAAAATTCTCTTTTTTGGTTGTGTCTCTGCCAGGCTTTGGTATCAGGATGATGCTGGCCTCATAAAATGAGTTAGGGAGGATTCCCTCTTTTTCTATTGATTGGAGTAGTTTCAGAAGGAATGGTACCAGCTCCTCTTTTTACCTCTGGTAGAATTCGGCTGTGAATCCATCTGGTCCTGGACTTTTTTTGGTTGGTAAGCTATTAATTATTGCCTCAATTTCAGCTCCTGTTATTGGTCTATTCAGAGATTCAACTTCTTCCTGGTTTAGTCTTGGGAGGATGTATGTGTCGAGGAATTTATCCATTTCTTCTAGATTTTCTAGTTTATTTGCATAGAGGTATTTATAGTATTCTCTGATGGTAGTTTGTATTTCTGTGGGATCGTTGGTGATATCCCCTTTATCATTTTTTATTGCATCTATTTGATTCTTCTCTCTTTTCTTCTTTATTAGTCTTGCTAGCGGTCTGTCAATTTTGTTGATCTTTTCAAAAAACCAGCTCCTGGATTCATTAATTTTTTGAAGGGTTTTTTGTGTCTCTAGTTCCTTCAGTTCTGCTCTGATCTTAGTTATTTCTTGCCTTCTGCTAGCTTTTGAATGTGTTTGCTCTTGCTTCTCTTATTCTTTTAATTGTGATGTTAGGGTGTCAATTTTAGATCTTTCCTGCTTTCTCTTGTGGGCATTTAGTGCTATAAATTTCCCTCTACACACTGCTTTGAATGCGTCCCAGAGATTCTGGTATGTTGTGTCTTTGTTCTCGTTGGTTTCAAAGAACATCTTTATTTCTGCCTTCATTTCATTATTTACCCAGTAGTCATTCAGGAGCAGGTTGTTCAGTTTCCATGTAGTTGAGCGGTTTTGAGTGAGTTTCTTAATCCTGAGTTCTAGTTTGATTGCACTGTGGTCTGAGAGACAGTTTGTTATAATTTCTGTTCTTTTACATTTGCTAAGGAGTGCTTTACTTCCAACTGTGTGGTCAGTTTTGGAATAGGTGTGGTGTGGTGCTGAAAAGAATGTATATTCTGTTGATTTGGGGTGGAGAATTCTGTAGATGTCTATTAGGTCCGCTTGGTGCAGAGCTGAGTTCAATTCCTGGATATCCTTGTTAACTTTCTGTCTCGTTGTTCTGTCTAATGTTGACAGTGGGGTGTTAAAGTCTCCCATTATTATTGTGTGGGAGTCTAAGTCTCTTTGTAGGTCACTCAGGACTTGCTTTATGAATCTGGGTGCTCCTGTATTGGGTGCATATATATTTAGGATAGTTAGCTCTTCTTGTTGAATTGATCCCTTTACCATTATGTAATGGCCTTCTTTGTCTCTTTTGATCTTTGTTGGTTTAAAGTCTGTTTTATCAGAGACTAGGATTGCCACCCCTGCCTTTTTTTGTTTTCCATTTGCTTAGTAGATCTTCCTCCATCCCTTTATTTTGAGCCTATGTGTGTCTCTGCACGTGAGATGCATTTCCTGAATACAGCACACTGATGGGTCTTGACTCTTTATCCAATTTGCCAGTCTGTGTCTTTTAATTGGAGCATTTAGCCCATTTACATTTAAAGTTAATATTTTATTTGTGAATTTGATCCTGTCATTATGATGTTAGCTGGTTATTTTGCTTGTTAGTTGATGCAGTTTCTTCCTAGCCTTGATGGTCTTTACAATTTGGCATGTTTTTGCAGTGGCTGGTACCGGTTATTCCTTTCCATGTTTAGTGCTTCCTTCAGGAGCTCTTTTAGGGCAGGCCTGGTGGTGACAAAATCTCTCAGCATTTGCTTGTCTGTAAAGTATTTTATTTCTCCTTCACTTATGAAGCTTAGTTTGGCTGGATATGAAATTCTGTTTTGAAAATTCTTTTCTTTAAGAATGTTGAATATTGGTCCCCACTCTCTTCTGGCTTGTAGAGTTTCTGCCGAGAGATCCGCTGTTAGTCTGATGGGCTTCCCTTTGTGGGTAACCCGACCTTTCTCTCTGGCTGCCCTTAACATTTTTTCCTTCATTTCAACTTTGGTGAATCTGACAATTATGTGTCTTGGAGTTGCTCTTCTCGAGGAGTATCTTTGTGGTGTTCTCTGTATTTCCTGAATTTGAATGTTGGCCCACCTTGCTAGATTGGGGAAGTTCTCCTGGATAACATCCTGCAGAGTGTTTTCCAACTTGGTTCCCTTCTCCCCGTCACTTTCAGGTACACCAATCAGACGTAGATTTGGTCTTTTCACATAGTCCCATATTTCTTCAAGGCTTTGTTCATTTCTTTTTATTCTTTTTTCTCTAAACTTCTCTTCTGGCTTCATTTCATTCATTACGTCTTCCATCACTGATACCCTTTCTTCCAGTTGATCGCATTGGCTACTGAGTCTTCTGCTTTTTTTTTTTTTTTAAGTAATGTTTTTAACTACTTAAAACACCAGATAAAGTCAACACTACAAGTTGCTGGGCCATGAACTTGCTGTGGCTTTGTGTCTTCTCTCTCCCTACTATGGAAGCATGGCCCTTTGCAAGCTGGAAAACCAGGGTAGATAAACCAGAGATGTGAATGAGTGGGCCAGAACAAACACTGTGATTAGTGTGACAGTGGACACCTATTTCCAAGTCAGTAGACGCCTATTTCCATCATCTCTCCTGTAGCTCGTGTATCATCTGATACCTTTAATCGTCTTTTTTGTGTGTGTCATCCATGGAATACAATTAATCATCTTTCAATGGGAAATTGCCCTTCAGTGTGGGAGCATGCTGCTTTTGTCAGAAACCCAATAGACTGTGAAATACTTTTACCACTCTTGTCATAATGTGTGTTTTTACTTAATTTTTTTGTCTTTACTTTTTGAATTAGAGAGTATGACTTTGCCAGAGCAGTGTGTTAATGTAAACTAAATTAGTTCTGGCATAAGGGATTTTTTGTTTTGAAGTTGCCTAGAGGAAGATTTCCTTCTCTTTAATTCACTGAGCCACCATAGCATTGCTGGCTGGAGTGTTCAGCTGGTGGACGGTTCTCCCTAAGCAGATTTGAGAAGTCATTGCTGCCTGCTGGTTCAGACACAATACTGTCCCTGTTCTCTCTTCTTCCCCCTCTGTCCCAGAAGAGGGCCTGCACCTGATCCTCCGTAATTCATATTGAAGTCTGCAGGGGTCCTGGCTTAAGTTCTGTTTAGAAATGCAAAGCTATTGCATTAATTTATACCTTAGGGAGAAAGAGAAGGAAGGTAAAACAGCCTAGGAAAACAGCAGTTGCAGAGTCCTTTGTGGGTGATGCGGTTTAAATTGCATGTGTTCTAAAATACACTAAAATGTTGGAGGTTGGAGCATATTCCAAATCCCACTGCACAGGCTAGTAAGGCATTCTTGCTCTTGTTCTTGGGGTGAGAGGACTCTTTTTAAAGGGTTTCTAATAAAGTATTTTTATGTGATTAAAGTGCTTGTAACCTTGAGACTCTTGAGTTGCAAATCTTATCCTCTCCCCATGTGACTAGTCTTCTCAAAGCAGCTGAGCTTTTTCCTCCTTTTCCTTTAGCGAAGGCTTGTCAAATCTCTTGAAGATCTTTGCTCCCAGTATGATCTGACAGTCCGAAGCTCTACTGGCGATATTATCCAGTTCATTTATGGAGGAGATGGCTTAGATCCTGCAGCTATGGAGGGAAAAGATGAACCTTTGGAGTTTAAAAGGGTTCTGGACAACATCAAAGTAAGATTTAGCATTATATCTGGGGTTAGAGTGTTTTTAAGGATGTTTCTTTAGGACGGAAGTACTGTTTGGACTATCAATTGCAGTTAATAAATACTTCAGTATTTATAATCCCAAGCACTGGATTAGTATCTTTTTTCTTTGTGTTACTCTGTATAATTTTCCGATATTAAAAGGGAAGGGCCAGGCACAATGGCTTATGCCTGTGATCACAGCACTTTGGGAGGCCAAGGCAGGAGGATCACTTGAGGCCAGGAGTTTAAGACTAGCCTGGGCAGCAAAGTGAGACCCCGTCTCTATAAAAAAAAGAAAAAAGTTTTGCTTTTTTTTTTTACTTTCCAATATTTAAAGGAAAAAGGCCAAGTGCAGTGGCTTACACCTAGAATCCTAGCAATTTGGGAGGCCAAGGCAGGAGAATCACTTGAGGCGAGAAGTTTGAGGTCAGCCTGGGCAACAGAGGAAAAACTCTATCTCTAAAAAAATATTTTTTAAAGAATTAGCCAGACATCGGGCAGATCACAAGATCAAGAGATCGAGACCATCCTGGCCAACATGGTGAAACCCCATCTCTACTAAAGATACAAAAATTAGCTGGGTGTGGTGGTACGTGCCTATAATCCCAGCTACTTGGGAGGCTGAGGCAGGAGAATCACTTGAACCAGGGAGTTGGAGGTTGCAATGAACTGAGATCACACCACTGCACTCCAACCTGGCAACAGAGCGAGATTCCATCTCAAAAAAAAAAAAAAAAAAAAAAAGAATTAGCCAGGGATGATGGCATGCTCCTAAAGTTCCAGCTACTCAGGAGGCTGGGGCAGGTGAATCCTTAAGCCCAGGAATTTGAGGCCACAGTGAGCTGATCTTACCACTACATTCCAGCCTGGGTGACAGACCAAGACCCTGTCTTAAAAAAAAAAAAAAGATGAAAAAAAAAGTTGTTTTCAGTTGAAAGTCTAGTGTTGGTAGTAATCAAATGCCAACAGAAGAGGGCTTTGTTTGGTTTCGCTCTGTGTCAAGTAGAGCATACTAGAGACCAGTTTTATAAGTCATGGGCATTGAAAAGCAGGCACACTTCACATACTTTGAGAATATAACTTGGAACAACCTTTTTGGAGAGTAGCTGGACAATACCATTCTGAGTTTTAAATACGTGTCCCTTTTGACCCAGTAGTTTCCCTTACAGAAACTCCTTTTGTCCTCTAGAAATGGTCTAACTATGCCAAGAATGTTTTTTCTACGCTGCTTACAGTAAAGGCAAACCATCAGTAGAGGATAGTTCAAATACATGATGGTCTGTCTATACAAAAGAATAATAATGCAGCCATTAAAACATTGAGTCAACTTGGACAAAGCAGAGGAGAGGAAAAAAGAGGAAATTCTGCTGGGGCTCACGCTTGTAATCCTAGTCCTTTGGGAGGCTGAGGCGGTCATATCACTTGAGGTCAGGAGTTTGAAACCAGCCTGGCCAACATGGTGAAACCCCGTCTCTACTAAAAATACAAAAAAATTAATCGTACGTGGTGGCGCATGCCTGTAGTCCCAGCTACTCGGGAGGCTGAGGCAAGAGAATCACTTGAACCTGGGAGGCAGAGGTTGCAGTGAGCCGAGATGGCGCCATTGCACTCCAGCCTTGGCAATCCAGCAAGACTCCATCTCAAAAAAAAGAGAAATTTATGAGCTTCAGAAGTGGGAGAATATTTTCACTCTTGAAATGTTTGAGTTTTTTAAATAACAGCTTATATTTTTAATGTAAATCTGGTGGGGGGCAGTGGGGTGGCGAAGGCTGGGAAGTGATGGGACAACACCTGCTGAATAGCCCAGAAATTTTTGCATAGGATGGAGTATCCATTTATCCAGTTTTCACCTTCACATGAAAGGTAGAGTCCACAATTTGTTTTGAAAGAAAAATCACAGGTTGCTAAAAGCTCACCTTGGGTAAGGTCATTTTATCCTTTGTAAGTTCTCTCATCTACTACCGCCTGCTCTCTGTGGCACCCACACATAATGCAATTTTCTTTTAATACTCAAGGCAGTCTTCCCGTGTCCCAGTGAGCCTGCTCTCAGCAAAAACGAGCTGATCCTGACCACAGAGTCCATCATGAAGAAGAGTGAGTTCCTCTGCTGCCAGGACAGCTTCCTGCAGGTGAGCTCTGCCAGGTGCTGGCTACTGCACCCAGCCTGGCTGTCGTAAAGAACTCTGTTTGCCAAGGGCTGGCAAGTGGATTTTATAAGCTGGTTGTTTTTTAAGGTAGGGTTGTTCCTTTGTTAGAAAGTTCAAGAATGGGCCAGGCATGGTGGCTCATGCCTGTAATCCCAGCACTTTGGGAGGCCGAGGCAGGTGGATCACTTGAGGTCAGGAGTTCAAAACCAGATTGGCCAACACGATGAGACCCTGTCTCTACTAAAAATACAAAAATTAGCCGGGCGTGGTGGCGGGCACCTGTAATCCCAGCTCGGGAGGCTGAGGCAGGAGAATCGCTTGAACCTGAGAGGCGGAGGTTGCAGTACACCGGGATGGCACCACTGCACTTCAGCCTGGGCAACAGAGCAAGACTCCATCTCAAAAAAAAAAAAAAAAATGACAGGCAGTCATTCAAAAATGGCCAAGGCAAAATCTCACCAGCCAACAAGCAGAATTTATCTCATGACTTTCTTAGTTTATGTCTTTCACTCAAGCCATTTCCCTATTAGAAGAAAAATGTTTTTTTCCCCTGTTAGAAGAAAAATGCTGATTTTGTTTGAGCGCTGTCCCTAACACCAGCCTACTACCTACTCTATCTTGTGAGCCAACTCTTCCCTCAATCATTCTGAATCCCAATAATTATTAGTACTAGTAGTCTTGTTTTGATACCATTTATTTTAAACTGCTCTTTCTTTTGCTGTATTGTGGATCAAAAATCCATTGAATCAGCCTTTTCTATTCTTCCAGGGAGCTGTTACTTTGATACCCTCTTAAGGTTTTTTGGTTCGTTTGTTTTTTGTTTTTTTTTTATGGTTCTGACCTGCTCAGGCAGCTCCTTCATGTTTATAATCATGGTTAGGATCAAAAGCAAAGGGATACAGAAATCAGTAAATGGTTTCCTTTGTGTACTAAATAGTAATTCAAATGTAGCACAAGATCAGCAGGCCAAAGAAGAATGTATCTCTTTCCGTAGATCAAAAATAAAAACAGCGAGTGAAGCTTAAATAAGAATATTTGTGTTAAGGAAGCTCCTCGCTTCTTGTGTTCATGTGTCAAGGTGTGAAAGGTGAAAAAGAGACTCTTCCAGATTTTAAAATCAAGAGTGTGGCAAGGCTGGGTGCCTTTGTCTGTTTTTCTCCTCCAAAGGCTTTCTTATTCTTTTTTTTTAACTAACAAATTAGAGTTGTAATTTGGTTTTTCTTCACGCTCATGTTTACGTATTTATCTGTTTGTCCTCAAAGACCTTAACTGAGACAGGTTATGAAAGCTATAACGAGGTAACGTACTTAGCATGCTGTGAACGCCAACAGAAAGGGCCCACTCCAGCAGCACCCCAGCATTTGCCAGCGCCAGAGAGAGCAGGTTTCTGTCCCGGTTCTGGCAAACACTGCTTTGCTTTGGACTGGTTCCTTTCTTGCCCTTGAAAAGGTTTAACACAGGTGACCTCCTACCCGGCAGCATTTGTTTATTCAGTGAGCACTGGTTTAGCCCTCACCATATGTCACACAGTCCACAGATCCTGGGGATGCAAGGATGACTAAACATGTCCTTGCCACCGGCAGCTCACAATCCGATGAGCTCAGATTTGCTGAGAGGGTCCAAAATCCACTGGCCAGAACAGATGTGTCTGAGCCCGTGAAATGTTCTCCAGCCCTAGCCCGTATCAGAGCTGAGGTGACAGAGGCACTCCTGAGTGGCATTGAGCCCAGGTCCCTGCCAGAGGAGAATGCCCGTGCTCATAGGCCTGCTGTGGAGCATGAGACACTAACTTCTGGTTAATCGTGTGATGAATTGCCTGCCAATAGCCATGTTGTGAGTTCGTTCCCTC
Organism: Homo sapiens; assembly: GCF_000001405.40. Classification (NCBI taxonomy): domain Eukaryota; kingdom Metazoa; phylum Chordata; class Mammalia; order Primates; family Hominidae; genus Homo; species Homo sapiens. The sequence goes on along the minus strand of NC_000010.11, from coordinate 77,989,186 downwards.
TAGTATGCATGGGTTGACTCAGTGTGAATTTTTAGCAGATTGTTTCAGTTTTCATTTCCAAAAAGTGAGCTGTTTTTCTTTTTTTATTTTTAAACCTAATTTCCAGAACCTTTGTGTAGGGAAAGTCATTCAGCAAACCCACGGGAAATGTGTCCATTGGGGTGAAAGCTGAGCTATGTCATTCCCAGTGCCTAAGCCGGCAGATTGTTTTAGGTGTGTTAATTTTACTCCCTATGTGTGCACAGTCCCTTGCAGATGAAAACCTTCTGGGTCTAAGGCTTGGCCTTAGGTTCTGCTCCTGTTTTTCCTGTGCCAACAGGTAAGGCAGCTTTTAACAACTGGTGATCAAATGGCAACATCTGGGCCAAGAGGGCTTTCGGGACCTTTCTCAAAAGGACCCAGCCACTGCCAGGCAAAGCCCCCTCTTATACTGAATATATAGAGGAAAAATTCAGTGGCAGCAAGTGCAAATGCCTTTGAATATTCTGTTAGAGCCATGCCAGAAGAGGTTGTCCCACTGCCCTCTACAGCTTTATTTTTCATCTCTGGTTTGCAAAAGGTAACTGTATCTGAAAACACAGTGTCAGACTCATCATTAATAACAAGGAATCAGGAGAGTTTCTCTTTAAAAAGAGTTTCTTGAGAACTCTAAAGTTCTTGCGAATTAATAAAAGTTTTTTTGTTTTTTTTTTCCTGAGACAGAGTCTCACAATCTCGGCTCACTGCAACCTCTGCCTCCTGGGTTCAAGTGATTCTCCTGCCTCAGCCTCCCAAATAGCTGGGACTACAGGTGCGTGCCACCATGCCCAGCTAATTTTTGTATTTTTAGTAGAGACGGGGTTTCACCTTGTTGGCCAGGCTGGTCTCCAACTCCTGACCTCAGGTGATCCACCTGCCTCAGCCTCCCAAAGTGCTGGGATTACAGGCATGAGCTACCGCACCCAGCTGGTAAAACTTCTTAAATAAAAAGCCCTTTCTATGTAGAACAATGATTGGGCTGCAGGGTCACCCTCCGTGGGCCTCTGCACTTTCTCAGTGGGAAGAAAGAGAGTGGGCCAACACAGAGAGTCATGAGAAAGCAGTATTCATGGGAACTGACAGCCAGGATGTGTTGGGCCCCCGAGGTAGCCCCTTGGCTGCCTGGGCTCCTGGGAGACAGACGGAATTTCCCAGTAGGCAAAGATTACATCGAAGAAACCCCTGTTCAGAGAAAAGACTTTGAAGAAAGCATCTGACTTCGTGGAGTGGTTGGTTGCCTTGGCCAAGCGCTGACCTCATTCAGGCCTTCAGTGCCTTCTGCTCTAGGGTGGTGGGGCTAAAGCCATGCCACCTCACAGTGAGGTCTTGCCAAGCTGGGCAGCAGCTGGCTGGGAAAGGCATAAGACCATGTGGACACAGATGCTAAGGCTATTTTAACAGGAACATAAAGTTCTAGCAGTTTGCTTGTAGAAAGGGTAGTAACTAGAAATGGCTAGTTAGGAGGCTAATGAGATTTCTTTTTGCAAGGTTAGGATAGAATGGGGCTAGGAAGTCTTAAGCTGTCTGTGGATACCTTATAGGATTTTATTTTTGCAGAAATGGGCTCCTGGTTCAGGCTTAGGCATTTTCAGCCATGTAATAGGCTGAGTGGACTTTGGGCAGGGCATGCTGGCCTTCTCTCTGGGGGACCCTCAGCCTACCCCAGAATCAAGAAACAGAACCTCATGAGGCTTCTCGGCCACCACAGTACGCAGTCTGCCCTCAAGCTGCTTGTCCTCCATGTGTGGGCATCTGTACTCATCCAGACACACAGAGCAGCTGAATGCCTGCATTTGGCCAGAGTGCCATTCAAGCTTACCGCCACTGTGATTTCCTTGCTGCTACAAAGGAGGGGCAGTCTATCTCCTCTTCCCCATATTCTCAGAGACTATATCATCCCTAGGCCACACCAGAGCAGCCGATGCCAGCTCCCGGGATGGCAGGATAATGGCCTCTGGAGGATGGTTGCTACTACATGGCAGGTGCCATCAGCTCACCCTGAGAATTGCTTTAAGAGCCAGTCTGTAGTCCGTGATGATTGACCCACTGTGAGCAGGATGTTAACCGCTCCTCTGTAAGTGCTCCTTCCCTGTGAGCACTCTCCAGGGGAAGGTGCTGGCTGATCCTGGCTTTAGGAGTGGTGGTGGGCTGGGTCTATTTCACAGACACACTGTAAATCCTAAAACAGATAGTTTTACCCATTTGAGTGGTTGCCAGAAAACCTGAGTCAGGGCTGTAGTCTCTAGCCCTGCTCTGATCTTCCACCTGTGTATTTTTCACCTTCTTCTTGCTCTACTTGGTCATCCTCCCGGGGCTGAGAGTGCTGTTCTTAAATACAGTGGGAATCGCAGCATATACTGATGCTTCACATCTGGCTTTGACAATGGTTTCCAGGAATCCTTACAGACTTCTAATTGTGTGTGGGAAGACAGTGTAGGCCTAGGCCTGTGGGGAGAGGTGGTTACCAGAGGGGAAAAGATAAGCTGGGTTTGGGGAGTGTTTTCTTTGAAATGAAGGTAAGCTCAAAGTGTGTTTGAAATGCATTTACTGTCAACAAAGCTATGCTTTAGTTGGTAGTATTTAAACTGAGCATAATACCTTCAGAAGAAACCCTCAAAAATTAATCTGTAGAAGAACAGTATAAATGCTTCAGTCGTACCTGTCTTGAGCTGTGTTCTTATAGCCCTCGTGGCACGTGGGAGAGCAAGAACAAAGGCTCCCACGCACTTTGTGGGCTCTGTAGATAGTGCCATGAGAGCAGTTGGAGGAGAAGGTCTTAGAGACACATTAACCAATGGAGTGTGTGTCTGGGGTATGGACAGTGTGGTGTGTTCCTTGGAAAACCACTTTGTAGTAGAAGCAGTATCCAGATTGGGTCCTTTATACTATATATGGAGCTAACACTAAAATATGATGGACTTGTCATATACAACTGAGGTTTATGAAATGAATTATGTCATCTGCATGACTGTGAAACTTACAAATGATGTTTGCTGTGTAATCTTTCAGGAAATAAAAAAATTCATTAAGGGGGTCTCTGAGAAGATCAAGAAAACCAGAGATAAATATGGCATCAATGATAACGGCACAACAGAGGTAATATCCCTCCAAGACGCGTTAGAACCCCGAGCTGTTTGTAGTTGCCGCTGGCCCTAACTCTGTGCTTGGCTTGTATTCTCCCAGCCCCGTGTGCTGTACCAGCTGGACCGCATCACCCCCACCCAAGTAGAAAAGTTTCTGGAGACCTGTAGGGACAAGTACATGAGGTAGGGATGCTTTTGTCTTGGACTGACGGTCATCCACATAGGTCTCACGTATCCCTTCTGTTTCCCCATGTGTACAAAACCCTGCACCAGCTCACTTGTTAACTGCCAGTATTTGATCAGATTCTGTCACATTTTCTGTAGGGGGTCTGATGAATTGCCAGTCTGAATGCTCCAAGATAACGGAAATAATTGCAAGGAAATTTCTTAGTGTCTTCTCCCCATGGGGAAACTGCTAACGAATATGGCAGATGCCACTGCTCTGTTTGCCATCAGTACCATTGGTTAGCAGACTGCTTAGATTTTCTGCATCCATTACATGCTGACCACAAGCAGCCATGCAGAATTGAGTTGCACTGCTGCCCCCTCTCTGACCTTTACTTTCCCCTGTCTGTACCTATTTCTGGTCTATGCCAGGCTTTTTCTCTGTCACAGACATACCCTTTCCGACCCTAATAGCATCTATATTCTCTGTTGAAAGGTGATAACCAGAAGCCTCTCCCCAGCAGTTTTGCTGGACTTTTCTTTGGCATGCTGCAATCTCATCCATACCTTTGCCTTCTAGGGCACAGATGGAGCCAGGTTCTGCAGTGGGTGCTCTGTGTGCCCAGAGCATTGGTGAGCCAGGCACCCAGATGACCCTGAAGACTTTCCACTTTGCAGGTGTGGCCTCCATGAACATCACCCTGGGCGTGCCCCGGATTAAAGAGATCATCAACGCTTCCAAGGCCATCAGGTGCCTGCTTTCATTTCCTTCTTGTTCCACACATGCCTGTCCTGTTTCCTGAGAAACAATGATCCCCGTGTCACATGCATATGTGTGATATCCTCATAGGACTGTGTCTTAAACTCTGGGTGGCATGCTTGCTGTGTTAATCCTATTTTGGTTTTTAAAAAAGCCACTCAAGAAAAAGTCTAAACTGGATACAGTCAAAATAGAAGCAATGGTTTTGTTATGGCCACAAGTAACATGAAGAGAGAAAATGTTTAAAATGACTGGAAAAATTGGAGCAATGTGTCAGTGGAGATTTCATCCTTTTGATGTCATTATTCCAGCCTAACTAGGCCTGACTGAAATGTCTGCCACTTGCCCTGTGGTCATATTCTGTGAGCCCCTGGTGATTTCATGATGGGATTTCTAGTTGATCTAAGGCTAGAAGAAATAGAAATGTATTACAATGCCTTCGATGACAAAAATAATGATTTTTACCTATGACCTATATTTAACAAAATGATAATACGTAGCATTGAATGAAAGATAGTCGGCTGGGCGCAATGGCTCACGCCTGTAATCCCAGCACTTTGGGAGGCTGAGGCGGGCAGATCACGAGGTCAGGAGATCAAGACATCCTGGCTAACATGGTGAAACCCCGTCTCTACTAAAAATACAAAAAATTAGCTGGGCGTGGTGGCGAGCGCCTGTAGTCCCAGCTACTCCAGAGGCTGAGGCAGGAGAATGGCATGAACCTGGGAGGCAGAGCTTGCTCAGTAAACTGGGGTTGCTAGTAACATTATGATTCTAAATAGCACTTGGGTTTAACAAAGCAGTAGTCCTCAAACAGCCTCCTCCCTTGTGCTAGTGCCATTTTTCCTTTGCTTCTCAACAGCACTCCAATTATCACAGCACAGCTAGACAAGGATGACGACGCGGATTATGCTCGCCTCGTGAAAGGGAGAATTGAGAAAACCCTCTTGGGAGAGGTAAGAAGAAATCCCTATTGATAACAAGAAAACTAGCTCAGCAATGTTGCAAGGAAGTGTAAAAATCAGCTGCCATCTATTGACCAGCCTGTGGCGTCCACACTACTCAAGCTCTTCAAAAAAGCAAGCAGTCGTGTGCTCTTAGGAAAGGGGAAAGCGGCTGATTAACAGTCTGATCTTTTGACACTCCAGATTTCCGAGTATATTGAAGAAGTGTTTCTTCCTGATGACTGCTTTATTCTCGTCAAGCTCTCCCTGGAACGGATTAGGCTTCTGAGACTGGAAGTGAGTCACATAATTAAATGTAGAGAGGAAGTCATCCTGTTAGTCCCAAGATAGGTACTGATAAACTAGGGCAAGAGCTAAGCAAGACAGAGGAAGCATTGCAGAACCTTCTGTGTGGTTTCTGGTTTTTGTGATTCTGTTGTCCCCTCACATTTTCTTTCTAAACCTGACCTTGATACAAATATACCCATCTAAAGACACACAGAAAATTAGTTGAAATTTTGTGCAGACCGCAATACCAGTTCACTGTGACACGGTATTATGATAAGTGGTCTTGTTGTCCCTCTTCCCAGTGTCTGGAAGGACCCTAGGGCTGGCTGTGTCTTACTCATCTGTGGATCCCCAGCGCCCAGCATGGCAGCTAGCCTAGGAAGTTCAGTAAATGTGTTTAGATGGGGAGATTAACCTGGCTTCTTAAACTGGCATGCATGGGTAATAGGCAACAGTTGAAAGATGATCAGCCTTTCTCACAAACAGACCAACTTGGGGTACAAACTGAGTAACTTCCCGACACCCTCTTCTTTCTCTCGGGTAGTTAAAGCTGTACTAGCCCTTAAAACACATTCTGTCAGCTCGTTCTCTCACGCATCAAGTTCATATGTTACCCATATAACAGTTGACTCAAATGCAGCAACCTGCTCTCCAGTTTGGGGATTTCTCTAGCCTGTCTCTTGCTGCCTGCCTTGTGGCTCCTTTGCAGAAGAGATGAGTTGTATCCAGGAACGTAGCACATGAACCATTGTGAAAGTGTCAGGTAAAGGGGAGGCCCCACGGAAGCTTTTAATTAGCCTGGCCTCCAACCTCCAGCCTCCCTAGAGCTTCCCACAGAGGCTGCGTGTGTTGCCATGAACTGAGCATGAATTTTCAAGGGCAAATATTTTGTCGTGGGTGAAAAAAACTACTCTTTTTATGAATAAAGCATAGATATATATACACATATAGTACATAAAACATATGTAGCATATTTATGGTATTAATTTCATGGTGCGGGTGGGGGGTGCTTAGAACAAACCTGACTAAAAGGACTTCTTAGAGGGGCAACAATGAAATAAACGAAGAACAACACTGGAATCAGTAACACCTACACCTGGCCATGTTGCAGGTGAACGCTGAGACAGTGAGATATTCCATCTGCACATCCAAGCTCCGTGTGAAGCCCGGTGATGTGGCTGTTCATGGTGAGGCTGTGGTGTGTGTCACCCCCAGAGAGAACAGCAAGAGCTCCATGTACTACGTGCTGCAGTTCCTGAAAGAGGATCTCCCCAAGGTGAAACAGAAGTCGCTTCTCATGGAGACCCAGCATCTCCCTGTGGTGTGACACCCAGGGCTGGGACCTAAGGGCTTTGTCACTTAGTCCGATTTCTTAATTTCTTCTTGGCCTTATCCCCAAGGAGTTAGTCTGTTAGATTCCTCTCTGTTCTATCAAAAAACTGATGTTAGGATGAGGTGCAGTCCCCTGAACAACTTCTGTTCTCCCTTATCCCTAAAACTAGCTCTAGTGTGTTAACAGATGACCACTGCTGAAAGCTGGGGTGATCAAGGTGATCAGCCCAGGGCATGGCTCACCCCGTCCTCACAGCTTTCTCTGTCTCTGAATCCAGGTGGTGGTGCAGGGCATTCCAGAGGTGTCCAGAGCTGTCATCCACATTGACGAGCAGAGTGGAAAGGAGAAGTACAAGCTTCTGGTGGAAGGTGATAACCTGCGGGCAGTCATGGCCACACACGGTGTGAAGGGCACCCGAACCACCTCCAATAACACCTATGAGGTACCACTCAGCCCACGGGGTCGCCTTAGGGTTAGGCTGTCTTCCTTGTGCCATCTGCAGGCCTTCCACTGATTCCCAGTATACTTCTTTTTTTTTTTTTTTTTTTTTTTTTTTTGAGATGGAGTCTTGCTCTGTTGCCCAGGCTGGAGTGCAGTGGCGTGATCTCTGCTCACTGCAAGCTCTGCCTCCCGGGTTCACGCCATTCTCCTGCCTCAGCCTCCCGAGTAGCTGGGACTACAGGCACCCACCACCACGCCCGGCTAATTTTTTTTTTTTTTTTTTTTTGTATTTTTAGTAGAAATGGGGTTTCACCATGTTAGCCAGGATGGTCTCGATCTCCTGACCTCATGATCCGCCCGCCTCGGCCTCCCAAAGTGCTGGGATTACAGGCATGAGCCACTGTGCCCGGCCTCCCAGCATACTTCTCTGACCATCCCATTTGCCGTGGGTCTGCAACTGAAAATTGCCCAGCAATCCATTTCTGGAAAACGGCACAGGGTTTGCTTTGAAACTGCAGGGCAGAGGAGAAAGTGGAGAGAATTTGCAGTGGCCTCCCGGAAGGGGCTGCTTCTGCTCATTACTGGCTCTCTGTAGGTGGAGAAAACTCTGGGCATCGAGGCCGCCCGGACAACGATCATCAATGAAATCCAGTACACCATGGTGAACCACGGCATGAGCATCGACAGGAGGCACGTGATGCTGCTCTCCGACCTCATGACCTACAAGGTATGTGGGCAGGAGGCCCCCGGGCTGCCTGGGCATCCCGAAACTCACTTTCAGGAGAATAAGCCTGTGGAGTTTCTAAGACATGTAGAATACGCTGCTGTGAGGACCATCATAGAGAGAAAATAAGATGTGAACATTGCTCAAAAACCAAAGTATGCTGGTCAGGCTGAGTGTCCTGGTGAAATCCCAGTATGAGAGTTACAGCCTCATGGCAAACTCATACCCAGTCGGTGGAGTGAAGAGAGCTGGAGCTTGGTTCCGTCCTCATCCTGAATGTCATCCTAAAGCAAAATTAGCCACTGCCAAAGCCCAGAGAGTCCCATGGCAAGTTGAGGTGTTTCTTTCTTATTAAACCCATCCATCACTCTTCTGTAGCCATTCCCAGGAAAAAATAAGTTAACATGATCTGAAGTTGGGGGCGGGAGGCTGAGGTGGGTTGGTTGGTTTGATTTTTTTTTTCTCTCTTTTCCAAAAAAAACGTATTTCCCTCTAGCTGTGCCTTAGGGCAGCAGGTTTTCATAAGGCTTCCCCAAACAAGTCGATAGAGTATTACAGACTATTTAGAAACCAGGTGAGGGAAATGGCCCATTTCCTACCACCCTGAGGCTGTCGGTTCGATGTCTTCTGTGAAGTCCTATTCTTTATGCATCTTTTGCTTTAGTCGCAGGAAACTGTGTGCATGCAGTTTTTGTTGTGACTTTTTGTTTAACATCACAAATGTTTTCCATCTTGTTTCATGGTTTTAATAAATATACTTTTTAAATTATGGCACAATATTCCTTTGAGTAGAATTACCTAAATTTAATTAATTCTCTTCATACTTGAGGTTTTTACATTCTTTTATTTTTAGTTCTTTGAGCCATAAGAAATCTCTTCAGAAATACTCCCCTTTTTTAAAGTTAGTCTCTGAATTCTAGTTCTCAATTCTTCTTTGTTCTGATGGCGTCTGGATGCGAGTGTGAAGTTTCATGTTGCCGACGATTGACCACCTCAATGGGACACAGAGGGCGGACCCATAGCTCCTCAGGGCCTTTCACACCTGACGTTGGGTCTTGGAGGATTTTTGTTGATTGTATTGAAGGTGCACCGTGCTTTGGTTTCGAGCTTTTGCCATTGGTGTGAGTACCACCGTGACTCTTTCTCCCTTGACGCAGGGTGAAGTCCTGGGCATCACTAGGTTTGGCCTGGCCAAGATGAAGGAGAGTGTGCTGATGCTGGCCTCCTTTGAGAAGACGGCTGACCATCTCTTTGACGCTGCCTACTTCGGGCAGAAGGACTCTGTGTGTGGTAGGTTTGATGTTTCTATGAACAGCATCAAAGGCCTTTACTATTTACAAATAGACCATGGCTAGGCTTCCAAGGGAATGAAAAAAACTGAGTGGCAGAGCGTTTATTTTTTCAAGAATAATGTCAATAGACACGAATTGGAACTGCTGGATCTTTTATCTCCAAATCCTGACTGTAGCATCCTGCATCCCCGTTTACATCTGTTGGATGACTTCCCTCTGTCAGCACAGATGGTTTTTGGTCCACGAAGCAAAGAGCAACCCTGGGCATGTAAGAATTTTTCTAGCCCTTGACTTTGTAGTCAGCCACACTGATCCTGACCCCTGTGTGTGACACCAGGGCTGACAGGAGCAGGTACTGGCTGGGCGCTGGGCAGAGCAGAGTGTCCTACTGTCCTTGGGAGGTGGCCATCAATGCCTGCTGAGCCCCTGTGCCAGGCATCATATGTGTCAAGTATCTCTACCCACCCGTGGGGTGTGGATATTAAGCCCTTTGACAAGTCAGAAGACCAAGGTGACCTCGCTTGCTGTCGAGTCCACCAGCAGAGCCTTGCTCTGCACCATGCCTCATCCCCGCCACTCGACAAAACATGGCTTTATGGGGCTGTGCTGGCCTGGGGGAGAGGGAGCACGAGGGGAACTCTCCCCAGTGTCTGGCTTCCCTGCCTCTTCCGTGAGACCAGCACTGACTGCTGAGCTTTGCTCGAGCCTTTCTGATTCCGCAGGAAGACCCTGCAGGCTTGGGGTGAGAGCTGGTAAGGGGCTGGGGTTCGAGAGGGCCAGCAACCTGCCCCGGGGCACACACCAGTCAGGCCCACACAGGGATTCCAAGTCTGGCTGCTGTTTCCAGGCCAGAGCTCTGCTTCCCAGTAGCCCTTTGCTCTCTCACCTCCTGCTCTTGTACAGATTGGCATCATTAGAGTATATACCCATTTTTTGCCTCTAAGATTAACTGTTTCTCTTTTCAGAAGGGACAGGGATTGGAGATGGAGGGAAATAAATATTACATAAGTCTTTAAGATAAAGAAGGGTGAGAGCGGGCATGGTGTTGCTATTGTCCCAGCTACTCGGGAGGCTGAGGCAGGACGATCACTTGAGCCCAGGAGTTTGAGGCCAGGCTGGGCAACATAATGAGAACTCGTGTCTATTTAAATATTTTTAAAATCAAAAAACAAGCGTGGGCCGGGCGCGGTGGCTCACGCCTGTAATCCCAGCACTTTGGGAGGCCAAGGCGGGTGGATCACGAGGTCAGGAGTTCAAGACCAACCTGGCCAAGATGGTGAGACCCCGTCTCTACTAAAAAAAATATAAAAATTAGCTGGGCACGGTGGCAGGCACCTGTAATCCCAGCTACTCGGGAGGCTGAGGCAGGAGAATCTCTTGAACCTGGGAGGCAGAGGTTGCAGTGAGCCGAGATTGCACCACTGCACTCTAGCCTGAGCAACAGAGCAGGACTCCGTCTCAAAAAAAAAAAAAAAAAACTAGCATGAAGGGAAAAGAAAAGGAGCAGCAGTTAGAATGGGGCCAGAGGGAGGTACACAGAAGACTGGAAGAAAGCCCAAGGCCAAGAGAAGAGCAAGTCTGCCTGACAATAGGGCTGAGACCCAGCACTCAAGCCTGACACCTGGAAACCGGGCCTTTGCCGCAGCTCTGCGGCCCCATACACCAGCACCTTTCTCCACCACCAGTCTCCTTGACTGCCTGGCACTGCCACCCCACCCCCAATTTGAAGTTTTCCCCTCCTCCTGGTCCTTCAGCACATTGTAACCCAGTGTTCGCCCTCATTGCATGTTGGTCTTTAATTTAGTTGTTTGCCTCTCCGGTTCCTTGGTAGCACAAAGTCTACAACACAGTAGCCATTTGCTTGCTCATCGTAGACTCAAGCCTTATGCCAGGTTGACATGGGGCTTGGAGAAAGAATCTGCACCACCCCCTTGATCCTGTAACTCTATAGGTGCCCTGCCTTCTGGGTGTTTCTCATCAGGGCTGTAGATCATGAAGGCTCAGATGCTCTTAAGCCTGGCCTGGCCCCTTCCCCTGAGCACAGCTAACAGCTGCCTACCGCAGTTTCCAAGGGGATTGTATTCTGCTCACTACTGTCCCAGTTGTTTGCTTTTCTTGGAGGCTCTAAGTTAAGGAAGCACTGGGTGGCAAACTTAGAGTTTCCTAAGCATCCTTCAGTATTCTTGCTAAGTTGTGTTCTCAAAGGCAGGGCCCTCCCAGGGTGCCTTTGGCTCAGGTGGGAGAGGAGAACTGGAGGAGCTGACTCTGTCTCCAACAAGCTCCTGGGCTGTGAGCAAGCCCTGCCCTTCCCTGAAAGTGCAGAATCCCCCTGTCTGCACTCCACAGCCACCCTTTTTAGATGGGAAGGAAAGGGATTTGCCAAAGTTCAGTTGATGTGGAGTGGCGCTGGGACTCACATCCTAATTTTCTGACACTTAAGCCAATAGTCTTTCTTCGTGAAAATGTACCTTGTGTTTAGAGGCTCTCTGATGTTCATTCTGGTTGGTTTCAGGGGTGTCTGAGTGCATCATCATGGGAATCCCAATGAACATTGGAACCGGGCTCTTCAAGCTGCTTCACAAGGCTGACAGGGACCCGAACCCTCCCAAGAGGCCCCTGATCTTCGACACAAATGAATTCCACATCCCCCTTGTCACATAGTCCAAAGAAAGAGGGGACCATGCCTGACCTTGACTCCTTGTCCTGTCTCCAGCTGATGTATAAAGAGTTTTGTGCTCCCTGGGACGGGGGTCCTGAGGTCCCCACCTATGCCAGCAATCAGAGAAGCCCTCTTGGCATCCCCAGGAGCAGCTTCTCCTCTGATAGGGTGCAGCTCACACCAGTGACCCTGACTGTGCCACGCTGCTCGGGAGAGCTGAGGGTTTTATTGTTTGCTTGCTTGAAACCTAATCTATAGACGGCCCCACAGCTCGTGCACACACTGCTTCCCTGGACTTAAAGCCCAGCCAGGTGTCATGGTCCATCCCAGCTCACTGCATACATCCATCGGCTCCCCATGGTGTCTTCACACCTGACGATGAGCCAGGCCTGAGCCCCACACAGGCCAGGGCACATTCTTGGATTTTCCATTCCTTGGTCATGCTGGAATCTCTCAATGTGACATACTTATGTAAATATTGTTACTATTATTTATTTGTTCCATTTGAGGGATTTGGAATTTTTGTTATTTTAGTTTTATTTTTGAAACCAAGCATCTATAGAAACCAAGAAAGTCAGCATGTAAGCGTCACTGGAAAAACTGGTTTAAGCAAATAGAGCCGTCTGGGATTTGTAACTGAGGTGCAACTGTCATGAGGCCCAGGCAGCTCTGTAACATCTTCTATAGATGCCCCTGGCTACCCTGTTGTTTTCATCTACCTCAGACCCCTATCATGGGGCTCTACCCTGTGACAAGAGCCAAACCCATTCTCCATGGCCTATGGAAGCCTCACTGGAGTTTGGGGCCTGCTGCAATGGGGATGAGATGGTTTTTTGTAGAATTATACTTACGTTCCTTGGATGATCTCTAGTTGATTTTTTAAGTTCTGAGTTGATGCTGTTAAGGTACCCGGGGTAGCCATTGGTTCTTGGATCTGTGTTAGAATGAGTGCTTTCCCTTCCTACTGATGTGATTGTGGATTAGGAATTCGTGACCGAGTGATTTTTGGCCAGTGGTTGGGTTTAAAATTCTATTAAAATTTGTAGTTTGGGCTGGGTGCTGTGGCTCATACCTATAATCCCAGCACTTTGGGAGGCCGAGGGGGGCAGATCACTTGAGCCCAGGAGTTCGAGAGCAGCCTGGGCAACATGACGAAACCCCGTCTCTACAGAGAATACAAAAATTAGCCAGGCATGGTGGCCCATGCCTGTAGTACCTGCTATTGGTAAGGCTGAGGTGGAAGGTTCACTTGAGCCTGGGAGGTGGAGGTTGTAGTGAGCCAAGATCGTGCCACTACACTCCAGCCTGGGCAACAAAGCAAGACCTTGTCTCAAAAAAAAAAAAGAAAAAAATTAAGCGTAAAAAAAAATTAGTTTTTATAAAAAATTATAGTTTGACCTTTTGATTTCCCTGCATCTACAAGGTAGACCTATTAACTTCTCTTGGGGTATCAGTGATGTGGAAAAAAAATGCCATTTTTCTTAATGTTTAACCCCCCTTTATCTTTGAATTGAGCTAGAGCCTGGTTTAGGACAAAGGATTAAGTTTGTTAATGAACACTAATTCAGGGCTTCTACTTGAGACCCCACCGAGATCACCAGTTCTCATGTAACCTGGGAAGAGCCATAAAGGGGTACCCCCCACCCCAACTGCCTTCCTGGAAGCATGCCTGGGAAGTAAGCTGTAGGCCTGATCCGAGCCAGGACCACTGGGATCCGTGCAAAGGCCAGGGGAGGGTAGAATTGAATCATAGGAGTGAACTCCGGCACCTGTTGTCTTCTGCGGGTGACGCACACTTTAAATGGAAGAGAGGTTGTGGCTATAACTTGTGGCTGGGAATAATAAAGATGGCACCGCCAAGGAGCCTCACCTTGCGTGAGTGAGTACTCAGTTGGGCGCTGCAGGGTCTGGAGTCTGTGTGAGACGTGTGTGATTGTGATGGGTGCGAATCAGCGTATAGCACTTGAGAACAAGGCAGACCTTGGAGCAGAATGGTTATGTGAAGGATCACATCACCCATGGGTAGGGGGGGAAGTCATACGTCCTGGAGGTGCTGGTCCTCCTCCTGGAACTGCCAGCCTTGCTAGGACTATCAACATCAACAGCATTGCCTGGTAAACCCTACTGTTTGTGCTCCCCACTGTGTCCCATGACTGGTGTTAAAATTCTCCCTACTTTGATCATCTGCCCTGCCCAGGCCTTGGGCTTTATGCCAGCACAGAGCTCAAAGGCCAGGTAGCAGCACATCCTCAAGCATGAGAGCTCAAAGGGTTACATTTGAGTCTCTGTACCTGCTTGGAAGAAATAAAAATACGTGTGAATTCCATCTCATCCATGAATAGTTACAAATTCTTGACTAGCATTCTGTCCAGTTCTTTGCCATTTTTACGTCTTTTTTACAAGGGAGATTAAAATAGCTCCTGACTCAGTTACAGCTCCCTGCAGTGTTCAGCACTTTAGGGGTGGGAGAGACATTCTGGAGTCCTTCAGTATATATATGTGTCAGTTAAACTATGGTGCCGTGTTTCTATTTCAGGGTTTATCCATGTGTATTCCCATTGATTCATGTCTGATTGAACCTGGCATTGTATGTTTACTTTTCTTGATTTTTGCTGTCTGTTGGCAGACCTCTTTATTTTTCAGCCAAAACCCAAGAGAGGAAATATTTGCGTTACCTAAAACTATAGCAGAATCATCCTTATGGGTTGTGAAAAAGGACGTTGGCCTTGTATGAGTTCTAACTCCTAGAATGAGAACCAACCCCCGTCAGGAGCTCACCTCTTCGGGTGCTGGAGGTCAACAGTGAATGCCCCAGTTACCCCCACCCCTGTGACTTAGAAATGTAGGAAATAAAGTGCCCTCTGAGATGCAGCTAATCCAGTCCCAGTAGGAGGCGCTGAAAGGACTCAAGTCTGGAGTCTGAAGGGCCGTCTGGCCAGGATCAGGTGCATAGCTTAACTTTTATTCATTCAACAAAGATTTAAGGCTTGCTACTTCCAAGGCACTGTTCTAGGTATTAGGGGTGCAGCAGTAAACACAATAGGTGAATCAGATGTTAATACATCTGGCCAGGCACGGTGGTTCACGCCTGTAATTCCAGCACTTTGGGAGGCCGAGGCGAGTGGATCACCTGAGGTCAGGAGTTGGAGACCAGCCTGGCCAACATGGTGAAACCCCGTCTCTACTAAAAATAGAAAAATTAGCTGGGTGTGGTGGCACGTGCCTGTAATCCCAGCTACTGGGGAGGCTGAGGTAGGAGAATTGCTTGAACCAAGGAGACAGAGGTTGCAGTGAGCCGAGATCACACCATTGCACTCCAGCCTGGGAGACAGAGCGAGACTCCATCTCAGAAAAAAAAAAAAAAAAAAAAAAAAAGATGTTAATACATCTAAAAGGAATTCCACAGAAGCGGGTGAAGCAAAAAGGCTCAGGTTCAGTGTGCAGAAGTGTGTCCAGCACACTCTGGGGTGGAAGCTGCAGATCAAGGGATTGTGCTCCCGTGGGCACATCAGGCCCACCAGGGTAAAGAAAGGTCCTTCTGTGGCTGCAGCCCTCTGGTTCCAACCCCTCCCACAGGGCCTCTCATGACACTAATTTGGCCTCCTTACCTTAGGCTTGGATTCTGGGGAGTGTGCCCTGAGCGAGGACACAAGCCTGCAGTCACTGGGAAACGTTGCCACCATCCTTTCCTCAACCTACTGGCAGTGTTAGCGTGTGAACATTTGAATCCATTAATATTTGCTACACTTCTGCTCTGTGCCAGGCAGTGCACTAGGCCCTTGGGGAAGGTCCCTGCATGAATGGAGCTTACCATCTGGTCAGGGTCATCTTGTTAAGAGCCTGAGTTCTACAATCAGTGTCAGGATTTAAATCCCAACTCCCCCTTTCTTTTTTTTATTTTTATAATTTTTTTTTTTATTTTAAATAGAGACAGGTCTTGCTATATGTTGCCCAGCTGGTCTCGAACACCTGGGCTCAAGCAATCCTCTCAAAGTGCTGGGATTACAGGCGTGAGCCGCCATGCCCAGCGTCAATTCTCCCTTTCCATCTGGTGCACATGAACAAATTACTTAACCTCTCCTTGCCTCACTTTACTCATTTATAAGCTAGGAATACTGTTTAGTAGTGTTTGACTCATTGGGTCATTGTGAGTTTTAAACGTGATTACACATAAAAAGGTCTTAGTACAGTGCCTGGCACATAATACACATTAAATGTTTGCAATTATTAATACAGTGACTTTTTTTTTTACTGAAAAACATGGTCTGTGAATTCACAACTAAAAACCAATCCCCTGGCTCTCTTTATTTGACCCTAAGTGGAGCTTGGTGGACTTGGGATCCAGCCTCCCTAGACATAATGACTACCCAGCTGTCTGCTCAATCAGTAGGTCGTGGGAAGTATTTTACATGGGGGGGGAGAAGGGTTCGGGAAGGGGATGGATGTGGCCACTGTGTGGTTGAGGGCTTGAACACTTTAATGCAGGCCATAAGGTAAGCGTGATCTCATTTTAGAGTCACAGGTAGTAAGACCAGAATAATTCAGACAGGCAGGTTTTTTTGTAGAGGTATGGATGTTGACAACAGCTATGTATTTAGATTATGTAAGAAGGTATCCCATAAGGGAGAACTTAACATTTTTCTCTCTCTTTAAAAGAATATATTAGGGCCGGGCACAGTGGCTCATGCCTATAATCCCAACACTTTGGGAGGCTGAGGCTGGTGGATCATTTGAGGTCAGGAGTTTAAGACCAGCCTGGCCAACATGGTGAAACCCCGTCTCTACTAAAAATACAAAAATTAGCCGGGTACTAGTGGTACACACCTGTAATCCCAGCTACTCAGGAGGCTGAGGCAGGAGAATCACTTGATCCTGGGAGGCAGAGGTTGTGATGAGCCAAGATCACGCCACTGTACTTCAGTATGGGTAACAGAGTGAGACCCTGTTAAAAAAAAAAAAAAAAGAAGAAGAAGAAGAATGGAACAGAAAATGGGTATGACAAGGACAGAGGTAGGAAGTGACCCTATGTTTTTTGTTTGTTTGTTTTCCCAGACAGGTTCATGCTCTGTCGCCCAGGCTGGAGTAGAGTGGCGTGATGATCTCGGGTCGCTGCAACCTCTTCACCTCCCAGGCTCAAGCAGTCCTTCCCATCTCAGCCTCCAGAGCGAGTAGGACTACAGGCACATTGCCCAGCTAATTTTTCTTTCTTTTTTTTTTTTTTTTTTTTTGGTAGAGATGGGGTTTCACCATGTTGCCCAGGCTTCACTCTGTTCTATTGTACCTTTCTAATTTTGTACCTTCTGAAGGTCTTGCCAGTTTTTGTTTTTTTTTTTAATCAATACCTAGCAGCCTGGGCAACATGGCAAAACCCCATCTCTACAAAAAATACAAAAAAATTAACTGGGCATCATGGCTCACATCTGTGGTCCCAGCTGAGGTGGGAGGATCAATTGAGCCCAGGAGGTGGAGGCTGCAGTGAGCCAAGATCCACTGCATTCCGGCCTGGGCAACACAGTGAGACCCTGTCTCAAAAAAATAAATCAACAGCTGATGGTAAAGAAATCCAGTCATCTTGGAGCAGACCCTGTCCGGGAAGGTACTTGAGTGTTCTCAAGGTAGTTGAGTGGTCCCTTCCAGTGATAGCAACGTAAGGCTGGTAGGCACCAGTCACCAGTTAGGACAAGGTGACCAAAAAATGCAAGTCAACAAGCCTGAAATACATAGGATTTTCTTTTCTGACATGAAAAGTCCACAGTAGGCATTCCAAGGCTGATACGACAGTTCACCAAGTTGTCGGGGAGGGACCCAGGCCCCTCCCAGCCTTCTGCTACACCACCCCTCCACCATTCCTCATGGTTCAATGTGGCTGCTGAGGTTCTAGGCATTCCAGCCAGGAGAAGGGGAAAGAGACATAGCACTTCCCTTTAAGGAAAGTTCCCAAAAGTTACTTGACACTTCTGTTTACATCCCATGAGCCAGAACTTACGTAGCCAAACCCAGCTCCAGAGAGGCTGGAAAATGTTTGGACTCTGGGTGGCCATGTGCCTAGCTAAAAATAGACGCCTCTGTTAGCAAAGAAAGAGGGGGAGGGCCACAGGAAGTGGAGGATGATCGTATCTCTGCCTCTGATGGGCAGGACCTTTCTTTTTTTCTTTTTTGGCTTGACAAAGGTCAGAATATCCCCCTAATCCCTCAGAAAAAAGAGACTGAGACCCTGATCCCTTCATTCTCCCTTTTCCTTTCCCCTTCTTGCAAATTTCATGCTTGAGTTACGGTGGGGTTTTTTTGTTTTGTTTTGTTTTAAATATATAAACTGACATTTAAATTAGATCACATTCCCTTTGCAGGCTGTTTAAAATGTTTCAGGGCTGATGGAAAATGTGACTGTCAAACATTCATTCAACAAATAACACTTTTTTGACCCCCTACTATATCCTGGCGCCAATACCAGGTCCTGGGTTTAGAATGATGAGCAATATTCCTATGGCTCTTTTCCTTGTGGAATTAATCTAGTCACAGCACTGTCCAGCAGTACTGTAGTATATAGTAATATAGATGACAGTAATTATGTAAGTCATATGTAATTTGTTTTTGTTTTTGTTTTTGAGATGGAGTCTTGATCTGTTGCCCAGGCTAGAGTGCAGTGGCGCAGTCTTGGCTCACTGCAACCTCCACCTCCTGGGTTCAAGCAATTTTCCTGTCTCAGCCACCCAAGTAGCTGGCAGTACAGGCACACGCCACTATGCCCAGCTAATTTTTTCATATTTTTAGTAGAGATGGGGTTTCACCATATTGGTCAGACTGGTCTTGAACTCCTGACCTCACGTGATCCACCCACCTCGGCCTCCCAAAGTACTGGGATTACAGGTGTGAGCCACCACTCCTGGCCCATATGTAATTTTAAATCTAGTATTGGCCAGGTATGGTAGCTCACGTCTGTAATCCCAGCACTTTGGGAGGCTGAGGCAGGAGTACTGCTTGAATCCAGGAGTTTGAGACCATCCTGAGCAACATGTCAAAACCCTGTCTTTACAAAGAATACAAAACATTATCCAGGCATGGTGGCACGCACTTGTAATCCCAGCTACTTGGGAGGCTGAGGTGGGAGGATCACCTGAGCCTAGGGAGAAAAAATGAGAAATTAATTTTAACAATGCATTTTATTTAACCCAACGTACCCAAAATGTCATTTCAACATGTAATCAATATAAAAATGACTGAGATATTTTACACTCTTATTTTCATACTAAGTTTTCCAATTCCAGTGTCTATTTTACACTTAGCACATAGCGAGTTTCACATGCTCAGTAGCCACATAGCCTAGGGGTTGGCCATTCAGCTCCTCCATTTACTCTCCAAGAACTTTCCAGTAAATGCTTCCTGGGGCTTAGGCTAACCAGAAATGATTTTCTATTTCCTGCTAGCCTGGCCCCAACCCTGAGACCTGTATGAAGGTGGATAGTCCACACTCAGAAAAGAGAAGCAGGATGGTAGTCATGGAAGCTGGAATCTGCCAAGGAGTATGGAACAACTCACCAGCCAAATGAACTCGTCCTAAAAATATGGATCTAATTTTTTTAAAAAAGAAAAGGCCAAGTGCAGTGGCTCACACCCATAATCCCAGCATCCCAGCACTTGGGAGGCCGAGGTAGATGGATCACTTGAGGTCAGGAGTTCGAGATCAGCCTGGCCAACATGGTGACACCCCATCTCTACTAAAGATACAAAAATTAGCCAGGCATGGTGGCATGTGCCTGTAGTCCCAGCTACTCGGGAGGCTGAAGCATGAGAATCGCTTGGACCTGGGAGGCAGAGGCTGCGGTGAGCCAAAATTGCGCCAATGCACTCCAGCCTGGGTGACAGAAGAAGACCCTGTTTCAGGGGGAAAAAAAAGAAAAAGAAAGGAAAGGGAAAAAACATGAAGAGAGCCCAGTGTATCCAGACCCGAGTCTCATCACCTTCTCAGGAAGCTTTTTGGGTTGTCCAGGCCTTAAGTAGGCCTGTGCTTCCAAACTTCATTTCTGGGAGGAGTGCCAGTGGGCTGGGGAAGTCGGAGGCTAGAAGAAGCCTGTTCTTGTACCTTGCAGTCTGTTCCACCACCGAGGAACAGGCCTGACCCGAGTGGCCTGCAGTAAAGCTCCGAGTCAGGGAGCATGGTATAATCACCTGACACTGGTGTTACAGGTAAATCACAATCTCTCCCCATAGACAACATGATCTTCCTCATGTACAAGATAAGCTACTTATTCAGTAAGACAGCACTCAGGGAAGTATGAATTTGCAGATCTGGTGATAAATCCACTGGTCTGGCAGAAATGGACCTGGACTGGGATAGCCATGACTCCAGTTCTAGCCACCTTTCTGCCTGCCATTAGCGGCATTGCCTTCGGCAGGCTGCCTCCCTTCTGCATCTGTTTCCCAGTCTATATAGTGGAGATTAAAGTCTCAGCCATGCATTTCTGCTTCCAAGCATCCGTGAGGCATCTAGAAGCTGGAAAGCTTTGTACATCGCTTAGGCAGAACACGCGGAGGGAGCTGGTCACTGCTGATGGAGTCTCAAGTATTGGCTAGCTCCTTCCATACCTCACCCTCTTACCTTTCAGGAATTGTCCTGGGACCTGAAGCTGAGCCCCAAGACGGTGCCTGGGACCCCCCCCCAACCCGGCCCTGGTGTCAGTGTGTGCCACAGCTTACCCTGCTGTTCTCTAGGCCCCTTCCCTAATACTGAAACTACTGTCTAACCTGGGTGGTTTTTTTTTTTTTGCATTTTGGAGGGGGGATGGGGAGAGGGGGGACAGTTTTGTTCTTTTTGCCCAGGCTGGAGTGCAATGGCATGATCTCAGCTCACTGCAACCTCTGCCTCCTGGGTTCAAATGATTCTCCTGCCTCAGCCTCCTAAGTAGCTGAGATTACAGGCACACACCACCATGCCCGGCTAATTTTGGTATTTTTAGTAGAAATGGGGTTTCACCATGTTGGCCAGGCTGGTCTCGAACTCCTGACCTCAGGTGATCCACCCACCTTGGCATCCCAAAATGCTGGAATTACAGGCATGAAGCACTGCGCCCGGCCATGGATGTTTTGTTTTGCTAATTGTCTGCCTCTCGCTGGTCGAATATAAGCTCCATGAGGACAGGGGTTTTGTTTTTTAATTCACTGCTGTATTCCCAATGCTTAGCACACAGTGCCTGGCACATAGTAGCCACTTTAAACACATCGGTCAAATAAATGAATATATGAAGGAGTGGATTCCATCTTAAATTCCCTTTTAGAATTTGACGTCAAGGAGGAGTGAGGGCCTTGGAGCCCAGCAGGCCTGGAGTGGAATCCCTGCTTGGTTACTGCATAGCTCCAAGTTGCCCCCATCCTGATCAGAGTTAAGATGTCCTGCTGGCTGCAGGGTCTCCCTATTTAAGGACTGCACAAGCATAACTGCCTGTTGTCCTCCCACCACTTCACAAAAGGCTCAATTCCAATTTTGCCCAAAGAGGGCCCCTCACAGGGCCAGACCAAGGGCATCGGGCTCTGACCACCATCTCCCACCTCCCCACATTTTCTGCCTTCGGGCCTGGGCCCCAACCCTGGCCCCAAACACAAGAGCCAGAGCCAAACACGTCTAGCATATACCACCACGGGTGATTTATTTAAGGGTCTCCAAATAATCGCTTAAGTGTCACCATGGCAACCTGAAGAGTTGCCATGGAGATTGGAGCAGGAAACGTCCCCATGGAGACCCCTGGGAGACGCTCTAGGAAATCATTACCAGGTGGAGGGGGCTTGGGAAGGGGGAGCTGGACAAATAAGGGAGGCCCACGGTTTGTGTGCTGCCACAAGAAGGGGGGTTGAAGGGGCAAAGTGGGAAAGACCAGCTTAGAAAAGCAGGCAAGTTAATGATCTCCAACTCTAAGGTCCCATGTGATAAATAACTTCCATTATATCCATAGAAGAGATCTGACAGAAAAGACAAGAGTCTGGTGGTAATGGTGGCCCCCAGGACGGGGTTGGAGAAAGAGGTTTCTTTTTCACGTTATACTCCTTTGTACTATTTGACTTTCTTTTATCATAGGCACTTAAATAGTAATTATTCCAAAATTAAATAAGTTATTTACTTACTATATTAAATATTTTATATGCTCAAAACAACCCCATAGGGTAGGTATCATCTCCATTATATGGATGAGGAAACTGCTGTTCAGAAAGGTTCAGAAAGTGGCCCACAAGGCCGGCAGTGGCGGCTCATGCCTGTAATCCCAGCACTTTGGAAGGCCAAGGCGGGAGGATCACTGGAGCCCAGGAGTTCAAGATAAGCCTGAGCAACAGAGTGAGACCCTGTCTCTACAAAAATATTTAAAAATTAGCTGGAGGTGGTGCACACCTATAATCCCGACTACTCAGGAAGCTGAGCTGGGAAGATTACTCGAGCCCAGGAGGTCAAGGCTGCAGTGAACCATAATCTCAACACTGCACTTCAGCCTGGGTGACAGAGTGTGACCCTGTCTCGAAAGAAGAAAGGAAAGAAAGGGAAGAAAAGGAAGGAAGGAAGGGAGGGAGGGAGGGAGGGAGGGAGGGAGGGCACAGTCATGGCGACAGTCTAGAATCAAACCCAGAGCTCCTTGTCCCCTGTGCAAGCATGGATTCTCTGGTCTCAACCCAGCTCTGCCACTAACATGCCAGGCACCATTAATTAAGTAACCCACATCCCTCTGGGCCTCAGTTTCCTCACCTGTCAGATAGTTTAGCAGTTTGGACTGGATGAAGATGAAGGTCTCTCTAGCTTGACATCCTGAGTTCACGAAGGGTTCCTCTCAGCACCATGGAGAATCACAGCTGTAGGTGGGGGGTGGGGAGTAGGGAGTGTGGTGACAGGGAGGAAAGGGGCGTGACAGCACCCCTCAGGGAACTTGAGAAACCTCTGGATTCTCCCTTTGCAGAGAGTATAAGAGAAGCAGGGAAGGTGAGCCACCAGGAAAGTGTGCATCAAAACCACACTGGAGCCAGGCAAGGTGGTTCCCACCTGTTATCCCAGCACTTTGGGAGGCTGAGGCAGGGGGATCACTTGAGCCCAGGAGTTTGAGGTTACAGTGAGCTAAGATTGTGCCACTGCACCACCAGCCTAGGCAACAGAGGGAGACCCTCTTTAAAAAAAAATTTTTTTTTTTTTTGAGACAGATTCTCACTCTGTCACCAGGCTGGAGTGCAGTGGCACGATCTCAGCTCTTTGCAACCTCCGCCTCCCAGGTTCAAGCAATTCTCCTGCCTCGGCCTCCCGGGTAGCTGGGACTACAGGCGTGCGCCACCACACCCAGCTAATTTTTGTATTTTTAGTGAAGACGGGTTTTCATCATATTGGCCAGGATGGTCTCGATCTCTTGACCTCGTGATCCACCTGCCTCGGCCTCCCAAAGCGCTGGGATTAGAGCTGTGAGCCACTGAGCCTGGCCTAAAAATTTTTTTTAAACATTTTTTTCAAATAAAAAAATTCGCTGGGTGTAGTGGTGTGCACCTGTAGTCTCAGCTACTCGGGAGGCTGAAGCAGGAGAATAACTTGAACCCGAGAGGTGGAGGTTGCAGTAAGCCAAGATTGCACTCCAGTCTGGGTGACAGAATAAGACCCTGTCTCAAAAAACAAAAAATAAAAATTTCAGCCTGGACAACATGGTGAAACCCTGTCTCTATTAAAAATTAGCCAGGCGTGGTGGTGCACACCTGTAGTTCCACCTACTTGGGAGGCTGAGGTAGGAGGATCAGTGCCTGGGAGGTCAAGGCTGCAGTGAGCCGAGATCGTGCCACTGCACTCCAACCTGGGCAACAGAGAGCCTGTCTCAAAAAACAGAATAGAAAAAAGAAATTTTTTTTGAAAAACACATGGCTGATGCCGGGCGCGGTGGCTTACACTTGTAATCTCAGTGAGTCAAGATTGCATCATTGCACTCCATCCTGGGTGACAAGAGTGAAATTCTGTCTCAAAAAGAAAACACCCACACACAATGAGATACCTCCTCACGGCCACTGGGATGGCTGGAATAAAAAGATGAACAATTACAAGTATTTGCAAGGATGTGGAGAAATCAGAACCCTCCTACACTGCTGGTAGGAATGTCAAATGGGGCAGCCACTTTGAGACACAGTTTGGCAGTTCCTCAAAAAATTAAACATATGGACACCACATGACCCGGCCATTCCTCTCTTAGCTAGTAGACACCCAAGACAAATGAAAATATACCTCCACACGAAAGCTGGCACGAAAATGTCCATAGCAGCATTATCCGTAGTACCCAAAAATGGAATCTCCCCAAAAGTCTATCAACTGATGAATGGATAAACAAAATGTGATCTGTCCATACAACGAAATATTATTCAATCATAGAAAGGAATGAAGTTCTGATACATGCTACAACATGGATGAACTCTGAAAACATACTATGTGAATGAAGCCAGTCATAGAAGACCACACAGGATCACATAGTAAATGATTCCATTCATATGGAATGTCCAGAATAGGGAAATTGAAAGCAACAGAGAGTAGATTATTGGTTGCCTAGGGTTGGGGGAGAGGAGAAATCAGGGTGAGAGAACAGCTAAGGCAGTGGTCTCCAACCTTTTTGCACCAGGGACTGGTTTCATGGAAGACAATTTTTCCACAGACTGCTGGAGGATGGGAGGTAGTTTCCAGATGATTCAAGTGCATAACAGTTTATTGTGCACTTTATTTATATTATTATTACATTGTAATATATAATGAAATAATTATACAACTCACCATAATGTAGAATCAGTGGGAGCCCTGAGCTTGTTTTCCTGCAACTAGACGGTCCCATCTAGGGGGTTTGGGAGACAGGGATACCCTAAGTGTGTTGCTTATGCCCAGTCTACTCCATAATCTCATTTTGGTTCACTGAGGAAAACCCTGCTTCACAAGGATAGGATGTTGGAAACGGAAGCAGGCTTTTCAGTGTTTTTCTGGCAGTCTCAGGACATTCTGCCTTGACTTTAATCCAGAACGTACAGAGACTTGAAGTTGTCTCAAAGATACTTTCAAGGCAGCTGTGCAACTGAAGTACATTGACTCACTTGCCACCATAAAACCTGCCACCAGATTCAGCTTAATTTTCCCTTGCCACTCACTGATGGGGATTTGATATGGGTCTGCAAGCAATTGATTTATGATGGTCTCTGTGCAGGCAAACTTCTCTGCTAACATTCATCTGTATTTGCAGCCACTCCCCAGGGCAAGCATCACCGCCTCAGCTTCACCTCAGATCATCAGGCATTAGATTTTCATAAGGGGCACAACCTACATCCCTCGCATGCGCAGTTCACAATAGCGTTCATGGTTCTATGAGACTTGAATGCCACTGCTGATCTGACAGGAGGTGGAGCTCAGGTGGTAATACGAGCAATGCAGAGTGACTGTAAACACAGATGAAGCTTCACTCGCTTGCCCACTGCTCACCTTCTGCTGTGCGGCCAGGTTCCTAACAGGCTGGGCTGTGGACCATTACTCTTACCAGTCTGTGGCCCAGGAGTTGGGGACCCCTGAGCTAAGGAGTTTCTTCTTAGGGTGATGAAAATGTTCTAAAACTGACTGTGGTGATAGATATACAATTATGCAAATATGCTAAAAGCCAGTGAATTGTACAATTTAAATGGGTGAATTGTATACTATGTGAATTATGTCTCAATAAAGATGTTTAAAAAGGAGAGAGGGATGGCACTGACCCAGGGCCACATAACCACTGAGTAGCCACCCCAAGTGCCCTGCCCCTGCCTATCCTTTTACTTTTCTGCTCTTGTTAAGGGGGACCAGAAGACTCTCCGTGGGGCAGCCTTGAAGACTGATTCTAAAATGAACGGGGGCTGGGCGCAGTGGCTCCCAGCACTTTGGGAGGCTGAGGCAGGAGGTTCACAGGTCAGGAGCTCAAGATCAGTCTGGCCAATATGGTTGAAACCGCATCTCTACTAAAAATACACAAAAATTAGCCAGGTATGGTGGCGCACACCTGTAGTCCCAGCTACTCGGGAGACTGAGGCAGGAGAATCACTTGAACTCGGGAGGCAGAGGTTGCAGTGAGCCAAGGTTGCACCACTGCACTCACTCCAGCCTGGGTGACAGAGCGAGACTCCATCTCAAAAAATAAAAATAAATAAATAAAAATAAAAAATAAAATAAAATGAACGGGTAGTCAGGCATGGTGGTGTGCACACGTAGTCCTAGCTACTTGAGAGGCTGGGGTGGGAGCATTGTTCAAGCCCAGAAGCTCAAGGCCACAGAGATCCATGATCACACCACAGCACTTTAGTCTGAGCAACAGAGTGAGACCCTGTCTCTCAAAAAAAAATTAAAAATAAAAATGAACTGGTGCCAGGTGATAGGGTCCCTCCCCACAATTCCCTTCTGCCAGAGCAGCGTTCTTTAACAGACTGGGCTGCCTCAAGATTTCACTTAGGAAAAGGGGTGCCCTGCCAGAGGAAAAGAAATGCAAAGGTTTGAAAGCCACTGACAGAGAAAGGGTTAAAAAATGATGGCAAAGGGATTCAGAACCTAGGCTTTGTCTTTGTATTAAGCATGTCTTTATTCTGATGTTTGACATCTTGGGGCTTTGCTGACCCTAGAGAAACTGCCCCTCCCATGGCTAGAGATGGTAAGGGACTCACTTGTGAGCATGCCTTTTGTATACCAACCAACCAATCCAGAGTCTATTTTCCAACTATTCCCTTTACAGGGCCCTTCCAGGGTTCTCACGCTCCAGGCCACTATTCCCCAGCCCTTACACCCCACTGACAAGCCCACTGAAATTATTCACAGTAGCCAATTCTAGGCCTGCTTCCTACCCTGCCTCGACCATTCCTTCCCTCAGAAACACAGCAAATGCTCCTGCCTACATTTTCCCCTCCCTGACTCTGCCTTCTGACCACCCTGAGGCCTCCACTCCTGGCCCTGCCTGGTATGACCCGCCCTCTCTACTTGGGAACTGTGAGTAACAATTATTCTTTCGATAGCAATCAGATCCTGATCTCCTGGCCTCACCATATGTGAATATAAATAAGATCTACATTTGAAAGCCGGCTACATGCTCCCTAGGCTTCAAACTTGCAAACTCTAGGCCCAGCGCAGGAGCTCATGCCTGTAATCCCGGCAGTTTGGGAGGCCCAGGTGGGAGGAGAACTTGAGCCTAGGAGTTTGAGACCAGCCTCGGCAACCCAAGGAGACCCCATCTCTACAAAAAAAAAATTTTTTTAATTAACAGGGTGTGAGGCCAGGTGCGATGGCTCACACCTGTAATCCCGGCACTTTTGAAGGCTGAGGCAGATGGATAATTTGAGGTCAGGAGTTCAAGACCAGCTTGGCCAACATGGTGAAACCCTGTCTCTACTAAAAATACAAAAAAATTAGCCAGGTGTGGTGGCACGTGCCTGTAATCCCAGCTACTCAGGAGGCTGAGGCAGGAGAATTGCTTGAACCTGGGAAACAGGCTGCAGTGAGCCAAGATCATACCACTACACTCCAGCCTGGACAACAGAGTGAGACTCTGCCTCAAAAAAAAAGAAAAAAAAAATTAACAGGATGTGGTGGTGCATGCCTATGGTCCCAGCTACTTCGAAGGCTGAGGTGGGAGGATGTCTTGAGTCTGGGAGGCCGAGGCTGCAGCGAGTCACGACGGTGCCACTGTACTCCAGCCTGAGCAACAGGCAAGACCCTGTCTCAAAAAAAAAAAAAGTTAAAAAAAAATTTGCAGACTCCTCACCTCTGTGCTTCGCTTTTCTCACCAGTAAGGCTGGGTTGCCAGCCATGCCTGCCTCAGGGCTGTCATGTAGAATAGTGTAGGCTGTACCTTGTGCAAGGGAGCCATGCCAAGGACCTGAGTGGGGCCTCCAATGTGCTCCCTACTCTGCTGTCCAAGCTGGAGTTTTGCCAGGGAAAATGTGCGTCTTTTCCTCATTTGTAAAGAGGCCCAAATGGGACAGCAGTGGCCTTGCCCACCTCGTGAGGCTGCAGTCAGAACAAAAGCAGTAGAGTCCTGGTGCAGCACTTGGCACTCCAGAAGTGGTGTCATCAGGGTCTCCATGGGGAGCAGGGGGCACCTTGAGATACTACATCAACTTCTAGGAAGGCTTCCCTTCTCTTTTGTTTGGGGTAGTGGGCGGCTGTATGTATATTTCAAGTCAATTTTATTAAAGTATCAAAAGAAGGTGACCCGAGCTGGTACCCAGGCTACAAATGAATAGATAGTTGCACACCCATGTCCACAGCCACATTATTCACAATAGCCAAAAAGCAGAAGCAGCGCAAGTGTCCATCAAAACAAAATGTGGTCTATACATATAGTGAAATATGATTCAGCCCTGAAAAGGAAGGAAATTCTGACACATGCTACAGCATGGATGGGCCTTGAAGACATTATGCTAAGTGAAATAAGCCAATCACAAAAGGACACCTACTGTGTGATTCCACTTATATGACATACCTAGGGCAGTCGTATTGGTAAAAACGAAATAGAATGGTGGTTGCTATGGGTAGGGGGTGGGGGAAATGGGGAGTTATTGTTTAAAGGTGCTGAGTTTCAGTTTCGTAAGATGAAAACAGTAAAACGGTTCTGGAGATTGGTTGTACAACAATGTGAATGTACTTAATTTCACTGAAATATACACTTAAAAGCAGTGAAGATAGTACATTTTATGTTACATATATTTTACCATACTTTTTTGTAAAGGCACAGCCAAGTCATACTTCCCAGAAAAACCATGCATATGGGAGTAATTACTGTCCCTGCTCTTGTCCTATAGAAAAACGGCTCAGAGACCGAGCACAGTGGCTCACTCCTGTAATCCAGAAGGCTGGGAGGCTGAGGCTGGTGGATCACTTGAGGTCAGGAGTTCAAGACCAGCCTGGCCAACATGGTGAAACCCTGTCTCTATTAAAAATACAAAAATTAGCAGGTGTGATGGCGGGTGCCTGTAATCCCAGCTACTCCGGAGGCTGAGGCAGGAAAATCACTTGAACCCAGGAGGTGGAAGTTGCAGTCAGTTGAGATTGTGCCACTGCACTCGAGCCTCAGCAACACAGAGAGACTCCATCTCCAAAAAAGAAAAACGGCTCAGACAACAGTAAGCCGTCTTTAAAGTGTTTCTCAAATAGTAAGTTTCCATCACTCCGCTGGACTTCCCTGGGACTGGCCCAGGCTGTGCACTCTCTCTGTCGCCTTGTGGGACACTTGCTCCCTTGCCAACACCAGCTATTATCACTTCATTATATGCACATGTATTTATCTATGTATGGGCATTTATCAATTTGACAAGAGAAAATGTTATCTATTTTATTTTCTTTATTTATTATTTTGAGAGAGGGCCTTGCTCTGTCACCCAGGCTGGAGTGCAGTGATGCAATCTCAGCTCACTACCATCTTCCACCTCCGGGGCTCAAGCCATCCTCCCACCTCAGCCTCCTGAGTAGCTGGGACTACAGGCACGTGACACCATGCCTAGCTAATTTTTGAATTTTTAGTAGAGACGGGTTTTGCCATGTTGCCCAGGCTGGTGTTGAATTCTTGGGCTCAAGTGATCTGCCTGCCTCAACCTCCCAAAGTGCTGGGATTACAGACATGAGCCACCGTGTCTGGCCCTATCTGTTTTAATTTTTACTTCTTTGTTTACTCCTGAGGTTCAGATTTTCTTGGCTATTTTTCTTTTTTCATGAGTTGCCTGTCCTTAAGGCTAAGAGAGCAACCAGGAGAACAAGTGTGTTCACTTAGCGTTCTCAGTCCCACAGGTGTGTCAGACCTCATGGCCCTGTTTTTAATAACTTGCATTGTTTTTGGCGCCAAGTGTATTAATCAGAGTTCCTGGTAACAAGAAATAGAAACCAAATCTGGTTAATGAAGTGGAAAAGCTTTGTTTTGTCATGTTTTTGGAAACATATCAGGCAGCTCACAGAATCATCAGGAAGGCTGGAAACCCAGGATGAGAAAATGAGCAAAAAACAAGGGTTACTGGCAGCAGAGTCCAGCTGGATCCCACCCAAGGCATGGTCCGGTTAGGACACTGGGTTCCATGCCAAGGGACCCGGTGCTGCCTCTGCCTCCACTACCCAAATAACATTCTCCCGTTTTTCTTAGCAGGAGCATCCAGTGAGCCACACTGACCACCACAGAGCAAGAACGGGGACAGTGAATATCTATCATTCCTGTCCTGGGGAACAAGAAGCAAGGGGAGGCCTTCACACAGTGGAGGAAGGGGGATTTAGACGCTGGGCTGTCCAAAAGATGCTGACCACCAAGTTTATGAACTACTTAACAGGGTACAAAGCATCTTCCTGTCCATAAATAGAGCTATCAGTGGCCATCACATAT
Organism: Homo sapiens; assembly: GCF_000001405.40. NCBI lineage: Eukaryota > Metazoa > Chordata > Mammalia > Primates > Hominidae > Homo > Homo sapiens. The sequence goes on along the minus strand of NC_000010.11, from coordinate 77,959,132 downwards.
TGGATGTTGCTACGTAGAAGGCACTCAGCTGAGCATATGATATGCTACATCATTAACTCTTCTAATGATCCTCCAAGATTGGTATCACTCTCTCTGTTTTGTAAATAAGAAAACCAAGCCCAGAGTGATTCCATCACTTTCCCCAGGCACACAGTAAATGTCAGAGCCAAAATGCAAACCCTGCTCCATCTGACTCTAAAATCACACCCTGGCCAGGCGTAGTGGCTCACGCCTGTAATCCCAGCACTTTGGGAGGCCGAGGCAGGTGATCACGAGGTTAGGAGTTCGAGACCAGCCTGGCCAATATGGTGAAACCCCGTCTCTACTAAAAATACAAAAATTAGCCAGGGGCGGTGGTGGGCCCCTGTAATCCCAGCTACTTGGGAGGCTGAGGCAGGAGAATCACTTGACCTTGGGAAGTGGAGGTTGCAGTGAGCCGAGATCGCGCCACTGCACTCTAGCCTGGGTGACAAAGCAAGACTTCGTCTCAAAAAATAAATAAATAAAAATCACACCCCACAGGGCCTCCCAGGTAGTTGGTTTGACAATCACAACATCCTACCACCACTCACCCCCCAGGAGTGGCCAGAGGCTACCCAATGAGGAAGTGGCAGAATACAGCACCACTAGATTCATTCTCTTTGGATTATCTTCAAGATACCAGGAGAGCTCCAAATACAAGGGCTCTCCTTATTGCCATAAGGAAGAGACTTTGGTGAAGTGTTTTCTGCATGTTCCCCGTTTTAGCCAGCATGTCAAGAAAATGTGAAAAATGTGTATTTAAAAATCTATTTTAGGTCAGGCTAGGTGGGTCATGCCTGCAATCCCAGCACTTTGGGTACTTCATTTGAGGTCAGGAGTTTGAAACCAGCCTGGTCAACATGGTGAAACCCTGTCTTTACTAAAAAAATACAAAAATTAGCTGGGCGTGGTGGCATGCACCTGTAGTCCCAGCTACTCGGGAGGCTGAGGCAGGAGGATAGCTTGAACCTGGGAGGTGGAGGTTTCAGTGAGTCAAGATTGTACCACTGCATTCCAGCGTGATTGACAGAGCAAAACTCCCTTTCAAAAAAAAAAAAAAAAGGTATTTTAAAGCCTCTGGTTCTAGGTCTGATGGAGGTGTCTGATGGAGTAGTGGGTATCATATTTATCTTTCCTTGGCCTCTGCTGTGGGTGAATATAAAGCCCGGACAAAATATAGTAAATAACTCTTTGCAGATATGCAACATCAACCAGTACAGGGCTATGGTCACTAAGAGAGTTCACCCCTGCTTTCACGCTGAAGACGTTTTCTTGACTATGGGAAACAGTGTCCAAGGAGAGACTAGCAGTGTTACTAGCTGGGGAAAACAGATGAGAGTGAAGGCTGCTGAGGCAACAGGGATTTCGGGGAGAGGAAGCAGACACAGAGCAGAAACCCAAAAATTCTGCATAAAAATCCTTCTTGAGACACAAGGAAGCTTTTTGAGGGATAAAAATATTCTATATTTTGATTGTGGTGATGGTTACACATGTGTTTACATTCATCAAAAGCCATTAAACTGTGCTCTTAAGATGAGTGAGTTTTATTGTAAGTATATCAATATATTAATTACATTTTGTATTTATTTATTTTGAAACAGGGTCTCGCTCTGTCACCCAGGCTGGAGCACAGTGGAGCGATTACAGCTCACTGCAGCCTTGTCCCCTGGGGCTCAAGTGATCCTCCCACCTCAGCCTTCCGAGAAGCTGGGACTACAGGTGCAAACCACCATGGCCAGCTAATTTTTTAATTTTTGTAGAGATGGGGTCTCCCAGTGTTGCCCAGACTGGTCTCAAATTCCTGGGCTCAAGTGATCCTCCTGCCTCAACCTCCCAAAGTGCTGGGATTACAGGTGTGAGCCACCACACCTGGCCAGTTTTTATTTTTGAAGAATGCCTTTGTCAAGCTCACCCATCATCACCAACACTCTGAATGAACATTAAAAAAAAATTGCCCTAGACCATTTCCTAGTAATTTTACTAAGGCAGTGATAGTTACAATAGGCTAAAATACGATGAGATTGGCATTGCTCATCTTAAATCCCAACGTACTGTATTTTAAATCAATAAAGTTATTGTATTTTATTTTGTTTATTGAGTTGGGGTCTCCCTCTATTGTCCAGGCTGGAAAATAGTGGTGCGATCGCATCTTGCTGCAACCTTGACCTCCCAGACTCATGCAATCCTCCCACCTCCGCATCCCGGGTAGCTGGGACTACAGGTATGCATCACCAAGCCCTGCTAATTTGTTAATTTTTTAATAGAAATGCAGTCTCACTATGTTGCCCAGGCTGGTCTCAAACTCCTGGGCTCAAGTGATCCTCCATCCTCAGCCTCCCAAAGTGCTGGTATTACAAACATGAGCTTCCACACCTAGCCAAAGTTGATTATTTTATTTTTTTGAGTTGGAATCTCACTCAGTCGCCCAGGCTGGAGTGCAGTGGCAGACTATCGGCTCACTGCAACCTCTGCCTCCTGGGTTCAAGTGATTCTCCTGCCTCAGCCTCCCAAGTAACTAGGATTACAGGCTCAGACCAATACGCCCAGCTAATTTTTGTATTTTTGCAGAGACAGGGTTTTCACCATGTTGGTCAGGCTGGTCTCAAACTCCTGGCCTCAATTGATCCACCCGCTTCAGTCTTCCAAAGTGCTGGGATTACAGGCATGAGCCACCGCGCCCAGCCAGAAGTTGATTATTTTAAAATTCTCCTTCTTGAGGCTTCGCTGACTCCTAAACTCCCATACACAGGGCAAGACTCTGCAGATGGAGTAGAGAATAGCCTCTGCAGCTAGACAGCTGAGTTGAAGTTTCAGAGGCTTTTCAGGGCTAGGAGAGTTGGAGTTTGGCCCCAGCCAGAGTAGAGAGACCTTGGCGAAGACCTGAGGTTTTCACTTGAGATCCTAGAAAGATCATACACACGCAGAGTGGGCCATGAGTTAGCAATGGGAATGGAGACAACTATGCCCTCTTGGAAGCTGGAAAACAAATGAATAAGTGGCAACTAATTTAGCAGATCCAAGAGAGCTGAGTCCTAAACTGAACAGGAGAAGAAGCTAAAAGTAACCAGATTTACTCTGTGGAATTTCCAACAGGCTCAGGAATTGGCACCAGAATTAGAGGTGAACGTGGGGCTTAAGAACAAGAGAACTGTTTGAAAATTTAAGAAAAAATTATATACCCCAAATGCCCTCCCCATATCCTGCCATCCAGAAAATTGGCGGGAGATTAAAGTTTATTCCCAGGAGATGGCTGGGCATGGTGGCTCACACCTGTAATCCCAGCACTTTGGGAGGCTGAGGCGGGTGGATCACTTGAGGCCAGGAGTTCGAGACCAGCCTGGCCAACATGGAGAAACTCTACCTCTATAAAAAATACTAAAATGAGTGTGGCATGGTGGCATGTGCCTGTAGTCCCAGCTACTCAGGAGGCTGAAGCACAAGAATCTCTTGAACCCAGGAGGCGGAAGTTGCAGTGAGCCGAGATCATTCCACTGTACTCCAGCCTGGGTGATACAGAGAGATTCCGTCTCTAAATAAATAAATAAATAAAGTTTATTCCCGGAAGAAAGTAAACTGCATGGTCTCTAGAGGATTCTGGACTCAGCTAGTAAGAGAGATCTGTACTTCAAGCAGGGGATTAAGCAAACATTTACAGCTGTAGTGTGAAACCCCAGCCTTCTTCATTCACTGAGCTCCCAGGGCTTCGTAACTCCAGGTGATCAGTGAAAGAGTGTATTTTGGAGAATCTGACTAGCTAAAAAACAAACAAACAAACAAACAACAAACAAAAACCTAAGATACTGATAACAATGAATGGCTCAGCCAGATCACCCTGCAATGAAGTTCATAGTCAAAAAGTTCTCCCCATGTGCTCAGACTTTTCAATCAGCTTTTTAGTGCCCCTACTCAGATAACCAAGTCATCAGACATCTGACCAAAGTCTCTAACATGAAAGGCAGAGATAAAAATAAATGGAAAAACCTACTTGGAGAAAACTATTTTATGCAGGGAAAAGAGAACTTTTAAAAATACGGCAAAAACCCTATCATTATTATTTCTTAGCGAGATCTTAAAAATATGCATCAGGCTGAGCACGGAAGGCCGAGGTGGGTGGATCATTTGAGGTCAGGAGTTCGAGACCAGCCTGGCCAACATGGTGAAACCCTGCCTCTGCTAAAAATACAAAAATTAGCTAGGCACGTTGGCAGGCGCCTGTAGTCCCAGCTACATGGGAGGCCAAGGCAGGAGAAGCTCTTGAACCCAGGAGGCGGAGGTTGCAATGAGCAGAGATCACACCACCGCACTCCAGCCTGGGCGACAGAGCAAGACTCTGTCTCAAAAAAACAAACAAACAAACAAAAACAAACATGCATTTCTGAAACAAGAACACAATACTATCAAAAACAGACATAATACTTACATGGATATTTTTCCCCCTTTCTGAGACAGAGTCTTGCTATGTTGCCCAGACTGGAGTGCAGTGGTTATTCATAGGCATAATCCCACTACTGATCAACTGATCAGCATGGGAGTTTTGACCTGCTCCATTTCTTTTTTTAGTTTGGGATATGACCTTTATTGAGCTTATGCACCAGAGTGGAAATAATGCCTGTACAAAACCAAATGTTTGTTACTATAACTTCTGCATCACTGTTAAAATCCAGTTTTTAAAAAACTCAATCAAAACCCACTACTTTGGAATCAATAGCTTCTTTGAAGCCATAGTAACAATTAAATATGGTTAAGACTAGAATGCAGAAATTGGTCAGTTGGAAAGCTAATTAAACTTCCAACTTGCTCAGACACAATTACAAAAAGACAAAATTGGGCTGGGGGTGGTGGCTTACGCCTGTAATCCCAGCACTTTGGGAGGCCGAGGCAGGCAGATCACCTGAGGTCAGGAGTTCGAGGCCAGCCTGACCAACATGATGAAACCCGTCTCTACTAAAAATACAAAAGTTAGCCGGGCATGGTGGCAGGCACCTGTAAACCCAGATACTTAGGAGGCTGAGCCAGGAGAATAGCTTGAACCCAGGAGGCGGTTGCAGTGAGCTGAGATCATGCCATTGCACTCCAGCCTGGGCAACAAGAGCAAAACTCTGTCTAAAAAAAAAAGAAAGAAAAAGATGAAATTATGTTTTTCACAGAGATACAGCCTACTGGAATCACCACGCTGGACAGCTGGTAAGGTACTTAGAGTCTCGAGATAATAAGGAATCCAGGCAGCCTTTAGACAGCCTTCTGTTGTCCTTTCTTCCCCATCAGAGATCTGTGAGTGTGTGGAATGACACCACCATCAGCAACTGTAGCCTCGATGACAGAATCCAATTCTTCATCTCCACAAACAGCAAGTTGCAAGTGACGAAGGGTAATACGCTTTACCTTGAAGTCTTTTGATGCCTTTGCTGCCAGTTCAGGTAGCTCTGTGGTGAGTTACTCCAGGATGGCTATGCTATGCACTGCGGCATTTGCACCCACATGCCCATGACTGGTCGTCCTAGATCTCAGGTGTCGATGAATATGTCCCACTGGGAACTGCAGGCCAGCTGTCTGCGAGTGGGAAACCGCCTTTGTCTTGTTTTTTTCCAGAGTCCTTCCCAGCCTTATTGCCAGTCATTTTGAATTCTGCTGAAGCTCAAACAAGCAAGACAGAGAAAGGGCTAATCAAACACCCAGCAAGATCCCACCACCTATTTCTTCAATGCAATGCAATTTAAACTGCCAACCTGCTCCTTTTCTGATCTGGGCCAGTTCACCCCTCCTTGGGCAACCTGGTGGTCCTCTGCTCCTGGGAGGTCATCATATTGATGCCGAACTTAGCACCCGATCGGCATAGCATGCTACAGCCCAGAACTCCTGGGCTCAAGTGATCTTCCTGCCCCAGCGTCCCCAGGAACTGGCACTACAGGTGCAAACCACTATGCCCAGCAAGAACATAATTTATATAGACATTCCATATGCAAATATATAAACCTGAGACAAAAACACAATACTGTTGGGGTTTTGGTTGTTTTTGTTTGTTTTTGAGACAGCGTCTCACTCTGTCACCTAGGCTGGAGTACAGTGGTGCGAATATGGCTCACTGCAGCCTTGACCTCCTGGAATCAAGCAACCCTCCTGCTTCAGCCTCCCATGTAGCTGGGGCTACAGGCACATGCCATCACACTCAGCTAATTTTTTTATTTTTTTGTAGAGATGGGGTCTCACTTTGCTGCCCAGGCTGGTTTTGAACTCCTGATCTCAGTCCTCTACCTCAGCCTCCCAAAGTGCTGGGATTACAGGTATGAGCCACCATGCCTGGCCACTATTGTTTTTTTTTGTTTAGGGGAACATTCAAAGGACAAAAAAGGAGCTCTTTAAACTTAAAAATATAATGTGAGAAATCAAAAACTCAGTAGAAGGATTGGAATATAAAATTGAGGAAATCTTACAAAAACATAGTCACAGAAAATAGGAGAGAATAGATAAGAAAATTAGAGGCCTAATACAGGAATTCCACTTCCTGAATAATAGGAATTCCATTAAAAAAATAAACAAAAATAAACAAAAAACAACAGAGAAAAAGGAATGGAGGAAATGATTAAAAAAACACCTGGGCTGGGCACAGTGGCTCACACCTGTAATTCCAGCAGTTTGGGAGGCCAAGGCGGGTGGATCACAAGGTCAGGAGTTTGAGACCAGCCTGGCCAACATAGTGAAACTTCATCTGTACTAAAAATACAAAAAATTATCCGGGTGTGGTGACAGGCACCTGTAATCCCAGCTACTCAGGAGGCTGAGGCAGGAGAATCGCTTGAACCTGGGAGGCGGAGGTTGCAGTAAGCCGAGATTGCACCACTGCACTCCAGCCTGGGCGACAGAGCAAGACTCTGTCTCAATAAAATAAAATAAAATAAAATACCCAAAGAAAATTTTCAAAAACGGAGACATATATTTCCAGTTTAAAAGGGCCCAAGATTTCTTGGCCCAATGGATGAAAAGAGACCAACATCAAGACAAATCATTATAATTCAGAACACTGAAGACAAAGAGAAGATCCTGCAAGTTTCCAAAGGGAAAGGGGAGGAGGTCAGGCATTAGAGTGCCTTGAATGTCTCAATAGATGCACTGGAAGTTAGAAGATAAGCAATGCTTTCAAACTTCCAAAGGAAAATCATCTCCAACATAATTCTTTTTTTTTTTTTATTTTTGAGACAAAGTCTCACTCTGTTGCCCAGGCTGGAGTGTAGTGGCGCGATCTCAGCTCACTGCAACCTCCATCTTCTGACTTCAAGCAATTCTCCTGCCTCAGTCTCCCATGTAGCTGGGATTATAGGTATGAGCCACCAGACCTGGCTAATTTTTTGTATTTTTAGTAGAGACAGGGTTTCACCAAGTCTCAAACTCCTGACCTTAAGTGATCCACCCACCTCGTACTCCCAAAGGGCTGGGATTACAGGTGTGAGCCATGGAACCCAGCCATTCAACTTAAAATTTTATACCCAACCAAACTATCTTTTTTTTTTTTTTTTTTTTTTTTTTTTGAGATGGAGTCTTGCTCTGTCGCCCAGGTTGGAGTGCAGTGGCGCAATCTCGGCTCACTGCAAGCTCTGCCCACCTGGTTCACGCCATTCTCCTGCCTCAGCCTCCCGAGTAGCTGGGACTACAGAACCAAACTATCAATCAAGGTTGAAGATAGAAAAAGACATTTGAGTCATTTAAGGTTCAGAAAAAAATGTTTATATACTCAGGAGGCTCCTGGATGATAAGGTAGTAAACCAAGAAAAAGACAAGGGGAAACAGGAATCTGACATGTGATAGATAAAGAGAATCCCCCAGGATGTTGGTAAAAAGAGATTGCAAGATGACGACAATGCAACAGTCCTATAGGACAACCAGCCTAGACCAGATAAGGTCAGAAATGTCTAGGAGAGATTTCTTCTTTTCTTTTTTTTGAGATGCAGTTTTGCTCTTGTCACCCATGCTGGAGTGTAATGGTGCGATCTCGGCTCACTGCAAACTCTGCCTCCCCGATTCAAGCACTTCTCCTGCCTCAGCCTCCCGAGTAGCTGGGATTACAGGCACCTGCCACCACGCCCAGATAATTTTTTGTGTTTTTAGTAGAGATGGGGTTTTACCATGCTGGCCAGGCTGGTCTCAAACTCCTGACCTCAGGCGATCCACCCATGTTGTCCTCCCAAAGTGCTGGGATTACAGGCATGAGCCACCGTGCCCAGCCATGTCTAAGAGAGATTTCTTCAAGAAAATAAAATTGGTAGAATATCATCTGAAAGTATTAAGGGAAGATTATAACAACTGAAAGAGCTTGGCATTAAACACATAGGAAACTAAGTAAATGAATTGGGGTGGGGGCGGAGATAATTATTAGCTCCAGGGAAAATAAAAAATTGTGCATAGTCCATCACATGGTAATAGTCTTTACATAGTGGTATTAATGTAAAAACTGGCTATTGCTCTAACCAAATTATTGTATGACTGTAGTGGAAAGATGGAGGCCAGGAAGGGTGCATGGGTTGTTCAAGTATGGAAGACAATAAATAGTGCCTAAAACTGAAAAATCATGACGTAGTAATAAAATAATATTATTGAGGGAAATGGAGACAAATGCCAAAAGAATGAGCTATAAAAATTGAAGATGGCCAGGAATGCTGGCTCACACCTGTAATCCCAGCACTTTGGGAGGCCGAGGCGGGCAGATCACTTGAGGTCAGGAGTTCAAGACCAGCCTGGCCAACATGGAGAAACCCCATCTCTACTAAAAATACAAAAATTAGCCAGGTATGGTGGCATACGCCTGTAGTCCCAGCTACTCGGGAGGCTGAGGCAGGAGGAGAATCTCTTGAATCCGGGAGGTGGAGGTCGCAGTGAGCCGAGATCACGTCGCTGCACTCCAGCCTGGGCAATGGAGCGACACTCTGTCTCAAAAAAAAAAAAAAAAGAAAAAAGGTGAAGATGATTATCTCTGCTAAGGGGAAGGGAGAGGGCTCTTTTTCATAAATCTTGCACCATCCCTTGACTTTTTAAACTATATAAATGAATAACTTAAATAAAAATTAAAACTTTGACCCAATTTCTATCTCCGAAAGTACAAGCTGAGGCAGGCAAACACACAAAGCAATGTACAGACAAAGCATCCGAAACCTGAAAAGGAAAGTTAAGTTGTACACAGGGAAGAACAGCATACATGTAGGTAAGAGGAACAGCAGGACTTCTGGAAATAGGCTGAAGATATTAATGATATGTCCTTAGACTCATCCAGGAAACCATCATATTTAACATGACCTGGAACTTGACCTTCCAGGATGCAGTCTGTTCTCCCAGGGATGGGAGGTGGGAGCTTCCCTAGGGAAAGTAATGTGGGATGGAAGTTTCTAAAAGCCAAAGCAGCCATCACTCTCCCCTCACTTCCTGTTCCTCTTCATCCATCCTCTGCTCCATCCTCCACCAGCCCCTCAGGACCCAAGCTTAGAGATATTGACCTGTGCTCATGTTTGCGAAGATCAAACTGACTGAGGGGATTAGGATGCGCTTAAGAGCCAGCAGACAAATCTGGCTTTACTTTTACCCCTGCATCCTCTCTCCCCAGCCATGTTTGTGGTATCTGGGCAGACAGCTCAGCCAACCCACCTGCACAGCTTCCCCAGACATTCCACACCCAGACAGTGGTGCCAGGAGTAAAGCAGCAGAGAAAGGGAAGGTATTAGGGGAGAATTAAGGTGAGGAAGTGACTCAGCCCCGCATAAGCCTGCAGGCATCCGGAGGAGTTCTCAGGAGGCAGTGGCGGCTGGGCCGAATTTCAAGCTGGCCTGTGAGTGAGGCTGAAATGTGACTCGCTCTGCCCCGCCAGGCACTGAGTGTGGTGGGGGGAGGGCTGGCTAGGGCTGGCTGTGCTCCTGTCCCCAGCTCGGACTCCCAGAACATCCCTGGTGGGCTGGTTGGGTTTGGAATCACTGGATTTTGCACGGCAATGGGTTTCTTTCTTCTGCGTTTGTTTGCCTTGCATAGGGTGGAACCAGGTAGAGAGGTGACTAGTAGAGAACATGCTGCCTTTCAGTCAGACAATTCAAATTCAGGCTCTTGACCTTGGACAAGATACTAGCCTCTCAGAGATTGTTTATTCATGGAGCAAACCCTGGAAAACAAAATTACCTTGACTGTTCGTCAAATGCGTTCACTGTGTAACCACCTCTAATATGCCAGGGTCTGGGTTCAGTTTAGAAATAATGTTTAAAAGTAAGCCATCTCACTCCATTAAGATGGCTACTATCTGGCTGGGCGCGGTGGCTCATGCCTGTAATCCCAGCACTTTGGGAAGCCAAGGCGGGAGGATCGCTTGAGCTCAGGAGTTCAAGACCAGCCTGGGCGACACAGCTAAACCCCGCCTCTACAAAAAAGACATTTAAAATTAGGCAGGCGTGGTGCCATGCACCTGTAGTCCCAGCTACTTTGGGGTGCTGAGGCAGGAGGGTTGCTTGAATCGGGAGGTAGAGGCTGTAGTGAGCCAAGATTGTGCCACTGCATTCCAGCCTGCGGGACAAAATGAGGCCCTGTCTCAAAAAAAAAAAAAAAAAAAAAAAGATGGTTACAATGAAAAATTTAAGAATATATTTAAAAATAGACTGGGCACAGTGGCTCACATCTGTAATCTCAGCACTGTGGGAGACCAAACCGGGTGGGTCATTTGAGGCCAGGAGTTGGAGACCAGCCTGGACAACATAGCCAGAACCTGTCTCTACATAAAATTAAAAAATTAGCCAGGCATGGTCACACATGCCTATAGTCCCAGCTACTGGGGAGGCTGAGATAGTAAGATCCTTGAGCCCAGGAGTTCAATCCTGCAGTAAGCTATGATCATGCCACTGTACTGCACTCCAGCCTGGGCAACAGAGCAAGACTCTGTCTCTATAAGTAAATAAATACATATTTTAAACATAAATAAAAACCAGAAAATAACCAGCCTTAGCAAGGATATGGAGAAACTGAAATTTTTTTTTTTTTTTTTTTTTTTTTTGAGACAGAGTCTCGCTTTGTCACCCAGGCTGGAGTGCAGTGGCACGATCTCGGCTCCCTGCAAGCTCCGCCTCCCAGGTTCATGCCATTCTCCTGCCTCAGCCTCCCGAGTAGCTGGGACTACAGGCGCCCGCCACCACGCCCAGCTAATTTTTTTGTATTTTTAGTAGAGACGGGGTTTCACTGTGTTAGCCAGGATGGTCTCGATCTCCTGACCTCATGATCTGCCCACCTCGGCCTCCCAAAGTGCTGGGATTACAGGCGTGAGCCACTGTGCCAGGCCGAGAAACTGAAATTTTTGTGCACTCTGGGTGGAAATGTACAATCATGCATCTGCTATGGAAAAGAGTGTGGCAGTCCCTCAGAAAATTAAGCATAGACCAGGCATGGTGGCTGACACCTATAGTCTCAGCACTGTGGGAGGCCAAAGCAAGAGGATCACTTGAGGTAAGGAGTTCAAGACCAGCTTGGGCAACACAGAGAGGTCCCCATCTCTGCAAAAAAAATTTTTAATTAGCTGGGCATGGTGGTGTGCACCTGTGGTGCCAGCTACTTGGGAAACTGAGGCAGGAGGATCACTTGAGCCAGGTGGAGGCTGCAGTGAGCTGTGATCACACCACTGCACTCCAGCCTGGATAACAGAGCGAGACCCTATCTCAAAAAAAAAAAAAAAAAAATTCAACATAGGCTGAATGTGGTGGCTCATGCCTGTAATCTCAGCGCTTTGGGAGGCAGACGTAGAAGGATACCTTGAGCCCAGGAGTTCAAGGTTGCAGTGAACTATGATCACATGACTGCACTCCAGCCTGGATGACAGAGTGAGACCTTGTCTCGTAAATAAATAAAACATAGAATTACCATATGATCCAGGCCGGGCACAGTGGCTCACACCTGTAATCCCAGCACTTTGGGAGGCCGAGGCTGGTGGATCACCTGAGGTCAGGAGTTCAAGACCAGCCTGGCCAACATGGTGAAAATACAAAAATTAGCCAAGTAAAGTGGCAAGTGCCTGTAGTCCCAGCTATTCAGGAGGCTGATGCAGGAGAATTGCTTGAACCCAGAAGGAGGAGGTTGCAGTGAACCGAGATGGCACCACTTCACTCCACCCTGGGCGACAGAGTAAGACTCCATCTCAAAAAAAAAAAAATTGCCATATGATCCAGCAGAGTATTTGCCTAAAATAACTAATTATACTCACCATTTGGGCACCACAGTTTCCTAGATGAACAGAGAGTATATCTTGTAATATTTAAAGACATGGCATTGACAGGCAAGGTGGCTCATGCCTGTAATCCTGGCACTTTGGGAGGCTGAGGTGGTCGGATCACCTGAGGTCAGGAGTTTGAGACCAGCCTGGCCAACCTGGTGAAACCCTGTCTCTACCAAAAATACAAAATTATCGGGGCATGGTGACACATGCCTGTAATTCCAGCTACTTGGGAGGCTGAAGCAGGAGAATTGCTTGAACTGGGAAGCAGAGGTTGCAATGAGCGGAGAACGCGCCATTACACTCCAGCCTGGGCAACAAGAGCAAAACTGTCTCAAAAAATAAAATAACATAAAATAAAATAAATAAAGACATGGCATTGCTAAATACCTACTTTACTCTCCATTTCGACTTCTGAGATATGTATCTGTAAGTGTGTGTGGTGAGGGCATTAGGCAGACCTACCCAGAAGTGCTTTCCTGAGCAAGGATATCCATAGCAGAGATTGTTCATTGTCCTGCAAAATCCATTCTCCCTCCTTCCTTAATCATGAAACTCCCGGATTTTAGCTGGGCACACAGCCACCAAGAACAAGGACTACATTTCCCAGTATCACTTGCAGATCTTTCTTTCTGTGAGATTAAGCTCTGGCCACTGGAATATATGCAGTGCCTGTGTGACTTTCTGAAAGTGTATTCAAAGGAAAGAGACAAAAATTTCTTTTTGTCTTTCCTCCTTCTTGTTGGCTAGGATATAGACGTGATGGCTGGAGCTCAAGCAGCTCAAGCCATTTGCAGAGACAGTGGAACAAGAGCAAAGGAACCTACCTCGTGGAGCACTGTATCAGTCTGGATAGCTGACTTCAGACTTTCATTTATGTGGGAGAGAAATGTATTTCTGTTTTGTTTAATCTGCTGTTATTTGGGGATTTCTGTTACTCACAGAAAAAAATAATTTTTTATTTTGGGTTTTTTTGTGTTTGTTTTTGTTTTTTTGAGACAGAGTCTTGCTCTGTCGCCCAGGCTGAAGTGCAGTGGCATGACCTTGGCTTACTGCAATCTTTGCCTCCTAGGTTCAAGTGATTCTCCTGCCTTAGTCTCCCTAGTAGCTGGGATTACAGGCGCCCGCCACCACGCCTGGCTAATTTTTGTATTTTTGTAGAGACAGGATTTTGCAATGTTGGTCAGGCTTGTCTCAAACTCCTGACCTTAATTGATCTGCCCACCTCAGCCTCCTAAAGTGCAGGATTACAGGCATGAGCCACTGCACCCAGCCAGAAAAAAATAATTTAACTGACTGTCACAGTAGCCAATGAACCTTGGGCTTACTCCCATCGGGGGTCTCTATACACCATTTTTCTTCTCCTCTTTTTTTTTTTATTGAGATAGGGACTCAGTCTGTTGCCCAGGCTGGCATACAGGGGTATGATAATAGCTCACTACAGCCTCTAATTCCTGGACTCAAGTGATCCTCCTTCCTTAGCCTCCCTCCCAAAGTGCTAGTGTGTGAGCCACCATACCTGACCTTTTCTTTTTTTTTTTTTGATATGGAGTCTCACTGTGTCACCCAGGCTGGAGTGCAGTGGCGTGATCTCAGCTCACTGTAAGCTCCGCCTCCTGGGTTCACGCCATTCTCCTGCCTCAGCCTCCCAAGTAGCTGAGACTACAGGCACACACCACCACACTCAGCTTATTTTTCTGTAGTTTTAGTAGAGACAGGGTTTCATCATGTTAGCCAGGATGGTCTCCATCTCCTGACCTTGTGATCCGCCCACCTTGGCCTCCCAAAGTGCTGGGATTACAGGCATGAGCTACCACACTCGGCCACACCTAACCATTTTTATCCTCCCCTTTCCCCAAACGCTTACCCTGATGAAACTAAGAGAGTTCAATTGGTATTACCTGTTAGGAGAGACTACCCTAGTGCTACTGAGTAAGTTGAACTGCAAATGAGACAGTCTAGAAGCAGATGCATTTCAGAAAACAGTTAGGCACTAGCTGGGAAAGTTGAAAATCACATACCCCATGACCCAGCACTTCCTCTTAAATATATTAAATAGATGTGTGCATTAGGAGTCACATACAGCAGCATTGCTAGTAATTGCCAAAGACTGGACACAATCCAAATGACCATCCACAGGAGAATGGCTAAGTAAGTTGTGGTATGTTTACACAATAGAATCGGCCATGCAGCAGTGAGAATGTATACCTACCACCACAAGCATCGACACAGGCAAAAGTCCAAAAAATATTGCACAAGGAAAGCAAGCCACAGAAGAAAACGTGTGGTCATAAATTCAAAACAAGGCAACGTCTTGTCTTGTGACATAGACATTCACAGTCAAACAATAAAGAAAAGTAAGAAAATGGCCAGAGGCAGTGGTAATGCCTGTAATCCCAACACTTTGGGAGGCCAAGGCAGGCAGATCACTTGAGGTCAGGAGTTCGAGACCAGAGGCAGTCTGGCCAACATGGTGAAAGTCCATCTCTACAAAAAATACAAAAATTAGCTGGGCGTGGTGGCAGGTGCCTATAATCCCAGATACTTGGGAGGCTGAGGCAGGAGGATCGTTTGAACCCAGGAGGTAGAGGTTGCAGTGAGCCGAGATTGCGCCACTGCACTCCAGCCTGGGCAACAGAGCGAGACTCTGTCTCAAAAAAAAAAAAAAAAAAAAATTAAGAAAAGTAAGAAAATGAGCCAGGCACGGTGGCTCGCGCCTGTAATCCCAGCACTTTGGGAGGCCAAGGTGGGTGGATCACTTGAGGCAGGGAGTTCAAGACCAGCCTGGCCAACATGGTGAAACCCCATCTCTACTAAACATACAAAATTAGCCAAGTGTGGTGGCGCATGCCTGTAATCCCAGCTACTTGGGAAGTTGAGGCAGGAGAATCCCTTGAACCCGGGAGGCAGAGGTTGCGGTGAGCCAAGATCATGGCATTGCACTCCAGCCTGGGTGACCGAGCGAAAGACTCTGTCTCAAAAAAAAAAAAAAAAAGAAGGAGAAAAAAAAAAGAAAAGTAAGAAAATGATTCCCCTCAGAATCAGATTAGAAGTTAGATGAGGGCAAGAGGCGGGGAATGATGATGTCATGGAGGGGGCCAGGAAAGGCTTCTGAGGTTCTGGCAAGGTTCTATTTCTTATCCTGGGGGCCAGCACATGGGGGTGACTATATGGGTGTTTGCTTTGGAACTGTTCTTGAAACTATACACATACATTTTCTGCTCTCTGGTGCCTGTAAGAGAGATGGAGGGAGGAAGAGTGAAGGCACTGTTTTGACAGTGGAGGGGGAGAGAATGAATGCCTTTTTCCCTCTTCCTTCCCTGTCAGCATTCATGACTCATTCCACCACTATTTAGCACTTACTCCATTCTGCTTGAATTACTGTTAGCTGTTAACACGTCTGTCTCCCTCTGTCATTAATTTATTCATTCAGCTGACAATTACTAAAAGTCCCCAAGGTGTCTGCAGGAGAAAGGGGCGACTGAAGAGAGTTAACCAATAAAAGGAAACAAACCTGGCCTCTTTCCTCCAGCAGCTCAGTCTTAGGGTGGGGGACGGGAGAGACAGATTTCTCTGGAGCTCTGTGGCAATTTGGCCCTATGCCCTCAGGGCCTGGGCTCTAACAGAGGTGGAAGCACGGGATCCACCTGAGAACCGGGACTCGTTTCCTGCTGCCCTGTATCCTTCACTACCTGGCGCAACCATGGAGACAGCTGCTGTGTGTTAGGGCCTGGGTAAGTCAGTGTGAGTCTCTGCAAGCTTCAAATGCAAGTTTAAATTGAAAGCCTCGTTGACTATCCCGGGGAAGGGATTTCAGAGAGTCCTGGTTCACTGTCCTGATAAAATTCACCCAGCATGCTAGTTAAAAATTCAGGTTTTGCCGGGAGCGGTGGCTGACGCCTATAATCCCAGCACCTTGGGAGGCCAAGGTGGGTGGATCACCTGACATCAGGAGTTCAAGACCAGCCTGGCCAACATGGTGAAACCCTGTCTCTACTAAAAACACAAAAATTATGGCCGGGCGCAGTGGCTCATGCCTGTAATCCCAGCACTTTGGGAGGCCGAGGCAAGCAGATCACGAGGTCAGGAGTTCCAGACCAGCCTGGCCAACATGGCAAAACCCCATCTCTATTAAAAATATAAAAATTAGCCAGTGTGGTGGCATGCACCTGTAATCCCAGCTACTCGGGAGGCCAAGGCAGTAGAATTGCTTAAACCTGGGAGACAGAGGTTGCAGTGAGCCGAGTTTGCACCACTGTACTCCAGCCTGGGCAACATAGCAAGACTCCATCTCAAAAAACTAAAAATAAATTTTAAAAATACAAAAATTAGCTGGGTGTGGTGACAGCCGCCTGTAATCTCAGCTACTCAGGAGGCTGAGGCAGGAGAATTGCTTGAACCTGGGGTAGGGTGGGGTGGGGCGGAGGCTGCAGTGAGCCGAGATCTCGCCATTGCACTCCAGCCTGGGTGACAAGAGCAAAACTCTGTCTCAAAAAAAAAAAAAAAAAATTAGGTTTGGCCTGGTGTAGTGGCTCACACCTGTAATCCCAGCATTTTGGGAGGCCGAGGCAAGAGGATCACTTGAGCCCACAGGTTTGAGACCAGCCTGGAAAACAAAGCAAGATCCCGCCTCTACAAACATTTTTTAAAAATTAGCCCCATGTGGTGATGCGTGCCTGTAGTCCTAGCTACTCAGGAGGGTAAAGTGGGAGGATTCCTTGAGCCCAGGCATTTGAGGCTGCAGTGAGCTATTACTGCACCACTGCACTCCAGCCTGAGTGACAGAGCGAGACCTTGTCTCAAAAAAAAAAAAAAAAAAAAAGTTTCTCAGGCTCTTTTCCTAGGTTGAAGCCCAGGAATCTGGATGTAAAACTAGCTCTTCCAGTGTTACGTGTGTTGTCTGGTGATACGTGTGTCCTGCTCTTTTCTGAGTGTAAACTATATTTCACCATCTGGGAAGCCCTGAAGTGAGTGGGTTGGGGGTTAGCAGAGTGGCCTCCTCAACCCCGGGAAAGTGCTAGGTCTGAGGCGGAGAAGGCCTTATTCATATCTCTCGGTATCTCTCTTAGGGGTCAGTGAATGTTTGTGGAAGCCAAATGAACTAAGAATAAATGAGAAAGAACCCAACATTTCTCTGAAATATAAATGAATCCTGCTCCCAACTTTGGAACACGCAAAATACTGTTCTATTAGTATTTGATTTTTTTGATATTGTTTAGAGAGAGGACCTGGCTGTGTCACCTAGGCTGGAGTGCAGTGGCGCAATCACAGCACACTGCAGCCTCGAACTCCTGGGCTCAAGTGATCCTTGCGCCTCAGCCTCTCCGTAGGATTACAGGTGTGTGCCGCCATGCCTAGCTAATTTTATTTTATTTTATTTTATTGTAGAGATGGGGTCTCACTATGTTGCCCAGCCTTGTCTCCAACTCCTGGCTTCAAGTGATCCTCCTGCCTTAGCCTCCCAAAGTGCTGGGATTATAAACATGAGCAACTACGCTTGACCATGTCCTATTCATACTTGTGTTCATTTGAAAACATTCTGAAGTGGTACCATAAGGTGTTTGAGAGCTCATCTCTGGATGTGGGTTTTAATCCCTGTTCTTCGACTTGCTATTTGTGTGACTTTGGGCACATCATCTGATGGCTCCATGACTCAGTTTCCCCATTTGTTAAATGGACATGCTAATAATGGTACATATATGTATCAGAGGGCTGTTCTGAGGACTGAAAGGGTCTATATATGAAAAGTAGTTAATATCGTGTATTATGGCACACTACTACTAGAATGGTGAGTACTGTGATTTGTGATCCCCTTTGCTTTTGTCTTGCAGTGAGAAGGTGGAGCCAGGCTTGGGTGGAAACAACCCCAGGAAGGGAAAAGGGACTCTCCTAGAGCCAGCCAGCCTCCCTGAATAAAAGAGGTTCAGAAAACCTGGGTGGGGCTCACGCTCCCTGAAACCAAGGAAGAAAAACCTCCCTATGGAGGGCAGAGCTCCGTATGCAGGCCACAACTGGCCTTTCCTGGTTGGGAAGCTTCTGTGGCCTGGTAACTCACTCCTGTGTGCATTTTTCCTCCTTTAGCCTCCTCAGTTTCACCATAGATTGAAGCCCCACCCTGCAGAGTTGCTGAAAAGGCTCATGTGCTTGCTTTCCTGGGCAGTCAGGAGGGAGGAAACCAGAGAGCAAGACTGGGTCATTAAAAACCTCTGGAGGAGAGGACCTCGGGTAAGTCAGCATTTTCCTGCTTGGATTCAGGGTCCTCCCCTGAAAAAATGAAGGAACTGGGCATGTAGATGTGCCCAGTTATGCTCAGAACAAGAGGGAGGTGGGTTATGTGGCAGCTGAACTGAGATCAGAGGTGACCCAGGGAGTGGGGATGTATCGGGGACTCCCCTGCAATTCAAGGCATTTTCCTCCCAAAAGATTTGTGTCCAAAATTATGGTCCCATTTCACAGATAAGAAAATCAAGTCATAAAACAATTAAGCAACTAGGAGGTATAGAAATAAACGAAGCCCACATGAAAATGAGCAAAGCCTATTGATTCAGAGCTTGCTATAGCAAGGGAGTCAGCTACCATCACTTGCCTTTGTCAGAGGCCTCAAAGGTGGGCAGGGAAGTGGAGAAGCTTTGTGGTGGGAAAAGGGGAGGCTTTGGGTGTGCCCTGATTGGAGGCTGTTGACATCAGGAAGCTGTAGGTGGGCCTATTAGAAGCGGGACATCCTATGTGACTGGTTAGGGGAGCACATCTGGCTTCCTCCAATTGGTCCTAAGTTGCACACTGGGGCAAAAATTAGGATGTTGTTGGTCAAGTTCTGGGCATTTTGTCAGTTGTTGGTCAAGTTCTGGCCATTTTGGGCTGATTGCCGCAGAGACTGTTTGGCTTCCTGGACTTGGTTGCCAATGGTGGGTCAGCTTTCTGAATTGGTTGCTACAGGTTGTGGGTTGGAGTTCTATTTTTAAATATAGTCTGGCCATTGCCCATTTGTATGTTCAGTCTCAGAGGTCTTCATGGCCCTGCACCCAAGCAGCTATCTCTGCGGTGGCCTGCTGCTGCTGCAACACCTCATGTGACCGTGTTTGCTTAAACGAGGCCTCCCATGGAGGAGCTTTTCCTCCAAGGAACTCCTCCAGTAAAGCTGCATAGAGCTGGATGGCTCCCAGCTGGAAAGTGAAGGCCAGTGTTCCATCTGGCAGCTGTTTCTCCAGCTGCTGCTTCTACACAAAGGAGGTTTGCTTAAAGGGGTCAGCCTTGCCCCCACCTGTGGGGAGTTGTTTTAAGGTGGTTGATTTCATCACTTTCCAGCTTCATGATCCTGAGCAGGCTGACTTGCTTCTCTGAGCCTCAGTGTGGAATGGTGGTACCGCAATGGCTACATGGAGAAAAGGAGGAACAATAGAGGTGTGGGTGAAAGGGACTCTGAATGCCGTGGAAGGGTTGGTGCCCAGGGGGGTTTCTGTTTTACCCACACCAGAATTCCCAAGCTACACCCGTCTCTTCTAGCCAGCTGTTTCTGGCTTCGGGGCATTCTCATCACCTCCAAGAGTCTGATTGGGCCCATGGGCCCCCTTTCCATCTGGTTTCCACATGTCTGCACCCACCGGCAGGGCAGGCAGGGCCACTGTTGATTTCTGGCTTATTCCCCAGGAACTGGCTTTCCTTCCTTGGAAGGCAGGGGCAGTTTTTTGTTTGTTTGTTTGTTTTGTTTTGTTTTGAGACGGAGTTTCACTCTTGTTGCCCAGGCTGGAGTGCAATGGCAAGATCTCAGCTCACTGCAACCTCTGCCTCCCGGGTTCAAGTGATTCTCCTGTCTCAGCCTCCCGAGTAGCTGGGATTACAGGCATGCGCCACCACACCCGGCTAATTTTGTATTTTTAGTAGAGACGGTTTCACCATGTTGGTCAGGCTGGTCTGGAACTTCTGACCTCAGGAGATCCGCCCACCTTCCAAAGTGCTGGGATTACAGGCGTGAGCCACTGCACCGGGCCTGATAGGGGCAGTTTTGATGCATGTGCAAAAGCTCTTCTGGGACTTCTCAGCCACTCCTGAGATTTTCTTCCCCTGCAAGATGGGAACCACACACAACTAGAAAGGCTGGGAGGGGTAGAAATGCACAGCTTCAGATCCCTCATCTGTATGATGGAGCTGCTCATGATGCTTACTTTCTATGGGTGTGGTGAAGAGTAACTGGGGCCTGTGGGCAAAGCACTCAGTACAGTGCCTGGAACATACTTAGTGCTCAGGAAAGGGGGACTGCTTCAATTTGCTTTGTGGCTGGGGTTATATTTACCCTAGAGATACTGGTCCTCTCAGACCTGAGTCCCTGGTCTAGACTGAAAAATGGAAGTGTTCTTATGGAGAGTTCCTGAGGACAATTACAAATACCCAAAACAAGTAATCTCCTCTCCCTTCCTAATTCATTCTTTCAACAAGTAGGTGAGGTTTTTGTTTGTTTTTATTTTTTGAGACAGGGTCTTGCTCTGTCACCCAGGCTGGAGTACAGTGGCACAATCATAGCTCACTGCAGCCTTGACCTCCTGGGCTCAAGTGATTCTCCGATCTCAGCCTCCCAAGTAGCTGGGACCATGCCCGGCAAAATTTCATTTTACTTTTTGTAGAGACAGGGTCTCCCTATGTTGCCCAGGCTGGTCTCAAACTCCTGGGATCAAGTGATCATCCTTCCTTGGCCCCCCAAAGTGTTGCGATTACAGGCATGAGCCACCATGCCCTGCCTCAACAAATAGTTTTGAGCCCCTATTGTGCATCAAGCTAGATACTGGGGATATAGAGGTGAACCGAACAGGTGTTCTGTGGAGCTTAGAGTCTAGTAGAAAGCAGTCAGCAAACACAGAGTCACATAAAAGTAGTATAAAATATGGCCAGGCGCGGTGGCTCACGCCTGTAATCCCAGCACTTCGGGAGGCTGAGGTGGGCAGATCACCTGAGGTCAGGAGTTTGAGACCAGCCTGGCCAACATGGTGAAACCTCATCTCTACTAAAAAAAAAAAAAAAAAAAAAAATTAGCTGAGTGCACCTGTAATCCCAGCTACTCAGGAGGCTGAGGCAGGAGAATCACCTGACCCAGGAGGTGGAGGTTGCAGTGAGCCAAGATCATGCCATTGCACTCCAGCCTGGGCAACAAGAGCGAAACTCTGTCTCAAAAAAAAAAAAAAAAAAAAGTATAAAATGTGATGAATGCCAGGAAGGAAAATGACTGCTCATAGAATCCAATTTTGGTCATTTGTGGGGTAGGTGGGAACAAGGTGGGGATATGCAAAAATAACCTTTAAACTGAGACCTAAAGAACAGAAAGATGAGAGCTCCCCTTGGCACACTTTCCCTTGCCTTGGTTTTTTCAATTCTCAGGTATTTCTGAAGCATCTACTCCAGGCCTTCCTCTGTCATAGGCACTGTGAGGGATATGAGAAAAATAACAGCACAGGGTCCCTGTCCCTAGCATGTCTGGGAGGCAAAGACATCCCAGGCCAAACTTACAAATGATGCAAGGCAATAGATAATGGCAAAAGAGGAAGAGGCAATTCAAAGCATAGCACATCAGGACTTCTGGGAGGGAAAGGCAAGGTCAGTAGGAGTTTCCTGGCCCTAGAGAATGAGAGGAGTTTGGACAGGCAAAGAGGAGGCAGAAGTGGGCCCTGGGGGAGAAGGGGCACATTGTATTGGTGGAGGACAGAGAGGGTCAGTAGCTGGAGCATTGGGCCAAGCAATAGGAGATGAGTTAGAAGACAGCCAAGCTCTGGATGCCCTGCAGGCAATGGGGAGCTAGTGAATATTCTTGAGGAATTGAGGGAGTGGTATGTTGTTCTGAAGAGGTGACTCTCACAATGCATGAGGCATTGTGCATTGGAAAACTAGGCTGACCAGGAGATAATCTGCTTGGCTCACTGGGGTTCACCGAGAAGGCTGTTCAGGCCTCAGGTTAAAGTGTCAATCCTTTGGGAGAAGTAACCAGGATGATGTTATCACAGTGTCAGATCCTTTCCAGCTGTGACTTCAAACTGGTTCCTGTAAAAGAGACACATTGTAGGAATGTTTTAACAGGAAGAAGGGATGACAGCTGAGGAGCTAGGGCATAGGCCTCGCAGGGTTGCTGCAAAGAATTGAGGTGATAAACTTGAATTCCCACTCCAGTTTTGACAATAATTGACGTGTGGTTTTGGGCAAGCAACTTCTTAGCTCTTCATTTGCAAAGTGAGGTTAGGTAGCCTTAGGGCTTAGCCAAGAACTTGGCACACAGTAAGCACTTAATAAATAGTATTTTTATTTATTTCATCGTTAATAATTCATTAGTCCTTTCTAAGGATTAATCTGAGGTTCTCAAAGGCTTTGAATCTCTCATCTCAGAATCTTGCCTTGTCCTTGGTATCTGGGCAAGATTCATGACTAGGTCTGGGCCTCTCTCAGATTCCTTTTTTTTTTTTTTTTTTTTTGTTTTGTTTTGAGACGGAGTCTCGCTCTGTTGCCAGGCTAGAGTGCTGTGGCGTGATCTCGGCTCACTGCAACCTCCAACTTCCTGGTTCAAGGGATTCTCCTGCCTCTGCCTCCCGAGTAGCTGTGATTACAGGCATGCACCACCACGCCCAGCTAACTTTCGTATTTTTAGTAGAGATGGAATTTCACTATGTTGGCTGGGATGGTCTCGATCTCCTGACCTCGTGATCCACCTGCCTTGGCCTCCCAAAGTGCTGGGATTACAGGCATGAGCCACCATGCCCAGCCAGATTCTCTGTTTTAAAATCCTGGGATATTTGCCTCTGGGCCATTCCTGAACTAACAACAAAAGCAGTCTGGAAGAAAAATGTCTTCATGATTTGAGAAGCTACCAAGAGCCAAGTTGAAGGTAATTTTTAACAAACAGGCATAATTCATTTCATAGATATAGCATTCCTAAAAAGGTGTGTGCAATATGGCATTTTCCTAAATAGAATTCCATTTTCAGCATCCTGGGGGAGTTCATTCTTTTAAGAAACTCTGGAAGGAAATCCTTTTAAATGTTGCATCTCGGATGTTGGGCCACGTGCAATTTCCCATGTGGGACAGGAAACCTGTCCTA
Organism: Homo sapiens; assembly: GCF_000001405.40. NCBI lineage: Eukaryota > Metazoa > Chordata > Mammalia > Primates > Hominidae > Homo > Homo sapiens. The sequence goes on along the minus strand of NC_000010.11, from coordinate 77,935,823 downwards.
GAAACAACTGCTCCTCTGCTCACACACATCCACGTGTTCAGACTCACACGTGTGCAGTTTGCACTCACAGACACCCACAGGCACCTGGAAATGGTTCCTCTCCTGCTCACAGTGCCCTCACACTCTTGTCAATGTGAGTGCATGGACACTTATGTGTGCACACGCATGCGCTAACATGCACAGACACATGTACACATGCTCTTGTTGGCAGCCTTGTGTACTTCCAAAGGAGCTGCACACTCAGAGCAGACCGCCAGGATCTGTTTCTCCAGGGAGCAGCTGTAGCTTATCCATTAAAACATAAAATCCAAGGCCAGAGTGGGGCCTCTGCTCACTTAGCCTGCAGAGAAAGCCCTGTATCCAGTATCTTTATTTGAAAATGTTCCCTCCAATCACTAGTGGAATAATGGATTCTGCCACAGATAACTTCTCCAAAAGCAAAGCCTGGTGGAAGGGTAGGTTTCCATTCTTCCTATCACAGGGTGTTTTTGAGTGCCTAGGGCAGTGTCCTAGGCAATATCTAGGCAGGTAGGTACAGAGGGTACAATAATGAACAAGTCGATGTCTCTTCTGCTCCCACAGAGCTCATAGCTCATTGGGGATTGTTGGTCTCCTAATGCCATAACAAAAACCCACCAACTTAGAGCCTTAGAACAGCACCCATTTAAGGCTGGGCACGGTGGCTCCTGCCTGTAATCCCAGCACTTTGGGACGCCGAGGCGGGCGGATCACGAGGTCAGGAGATTGAGACCATGTGGCTAACATAGTGAAGCCCTATCTCTACTAAAAATACAAAAAGTTAGCCAGGTGTGGTGGCGGGCGCCTGTAGTCCCAGCTATTGGGAAGGCTGAGGCAGGAGAATGGCATGAGCCAGGGAGGCGGAGCTTGCAGTGAGCCAAGATCGTGCCACTGCACTCCAGCCTAGGCGACAGAGCAAGACTCTGTCTCAAAAAAAAAAAAAAACAAAAAAACAAAAAAAAAGAACAGCACCCATTTAGTATTTCTCAGCTCTGTAGATGACAGGTCCAGGTCAGCTTGGCAGGTTTCTCTGCTCAGGCTTTTATAAGGCTGATATCAAGGTGGTAGCCGCTGGGATCTTCTCCAGGGCTCTGGGAAGAATCCACTTCCAAGGTCATTCAGTTGTTGCCAGAATCCAGTTCCTTGTGATTGTAAGAGTGAGGTTCCTGGCTCCTTGCTGGCTGTCAGCTGGGGACCACTCTTAGCTCCTTGCATGTGGGCCCCTCCATCTCAGAGCCAATAGTGACCAGTCAAATCCTTCTCATGCTTGGAATCTCTCTGACTTCCCTTTCTACTGCCTCCAGGTGGAGGAAATTCTCTGCTTTTAAGAGCTCACATTATCAGATTAGATTGTGCCTGCCTGGATACTCAAGGATACTCTCCCTATTTTACTTTATGTATTTATTTTTTCCTTTTCTTTTTTTTTTTTTTTTTGAGATGGAGTTTCACTCTTATTGCCCAGGATGGAGAACAATGGCGTGATCTTGGCTCACTGCAACCTCTGCCTCCCAGGTTCAAGCAATTCTCCTGCCTCAGCCTCCCAAGTAGCTGGGATTACATGCATGCACCACCATACTCGGATAATTTTGTATTTTTAGTGGAGACGGGGGTTTCTCCATGTTGGTCAGGCTGGTCTCAAATTCCTGACCTCGGGTGATCCACCCACCTCGGCCTCCCAAAATGCTGGAATTACAGGTGTGAGCCACCGTGCCCAGCCTACTTGCCCTTTTTTATTTTATTTTTATTTTTATTTTTTTGGAGACAGAGTCTCACTCTGTCACCCAGGCTGGAGTGCAGTGGTGCGATCTCAGCTCACTGCAACCTCTGCTTCCCGGGTTCAAGCAATTCTCCTGCCTCAGCCTCCCAAGTAGCTGGGATTACAGGTGTGAGCCACCGTGCCCGGCCTACTCTCCGTATTTTAAAGTACAGAACTTTAATCACATTTGTGAAGTCCCTGTAGCCATATAACAAAACATCTTCACAGGTTCCAGGGACTGGAGCATGGTTGTCTTTTGGGAGCTTGGAAGGGGAGCTATTCTGTTTATCACAGGAATATAGAAAAGAAACGCAATTTTTTTTTTTAAGGCAGAGTCTTACTCTGTTACCCGGGCTGGAGTGCAGTGGCACGATCTCTCCTCACTGCAACCTCTGCCTCTCAGGTTCAAGCGATTCTCCTGCCTCAGCCTCCCGAGTAGCTGGGATTATGCTGATAAGCCGGGCACCGTGGCTCACCCCTGTAATCTTAGCACTTTGGGAGGCTGAGTGGGGTGGATCACCTGAGGGCAGGAGTTTGAGACTAGCCTGGCCAACATGGTGAAACCCCATCTGTACTAAAAATACAAAAATTAGCCGAGCGTGGTGGCGGGCATCTGTAATCCCAGGTACTTGGAAGGCTGAGGCAGGATGCAGGAGAATTGCTTGAACCCAGGAGGCGGAGGTTGCAGTGAGCTGAGATCACGCCATTGCACTCCAGCCTGGGGAACAAGAGCGAGACTCTATCTCAAAAAAAACAAAAAACAAAAAACAAAAACAAAAACCCAAACAAAAACAAAAACAAACAAAAAATACACACTGATAAACCTTAATAAAGGGAGTAAAAAGTTGCAATGAGAGCATGTAGCAGAGACACCAAACCCTTTTCAAGGAGATTGGTAAGGCAAGTATGGCTTCCTAAAGGTTAACATCTAAGCTGAAGTGTGAAGAATGGGCTCAGAGTCAAAGAGTTAATGCTCCCAGACAGCACTGTGCTTGCAGAAAGCTTGAGGGGACTGTGCCCTCAGGGCTATATTTGCCTTGGTGCCATCAGTTTAGGTCTGAATTTCTGAGCAGGGGCATCTTTTTTCTTTTTTATTACCCAAAGAACATATTTTAGAGGCAGAGTCTCACTATGTTACCCTGTTTGGCCTCGAACTTGGGTTCAAGTAATCCTCCTCCTCAGTCACCTGAGCAGCTAGGAAGAGCAGTGGGGCCTGGTAGGCCAAGTTTATCAGCAGGACAAAGCAGGACAGGGTGGAGCTCCTGGTGCTTAGCGCCCCAGCAGTGGCCACTCTGCAGTGGGCAGAGTTCATGGTCCCTGCATTAAGTTCCCAACCTGCCACCCATTTCCTGTGGCACCAGGGAGAATTTGTGACCTTCTCTCATTTTGCTTCTGATGCTTCTCCTTTTTTATTTTTTATAGACTCTGGTCTCACTATGTTGCTCAGGCTGGTCTCAAACTTCTGGGCTCAAGCAATCCTGCCTCGGCCTTCCAAAGTGCTGGGATTATAGGTGTGAGCCACGGCGCCCAGCCACTTCTCCTTTTTGAGGTACTTTCCTTCCCCATCTTCCCATTTTTAGTTGATATTATTTTGAAGTAGGGCCTCAATGCAAAACTCTTTAGTTTGTTCATTCATTCATATGTTCACCTATTAATTAAAAATACTATCTATTGAGCACCTACCACATGCCCGGTACAGTGCTGTGGAGATACAGCAGATAACAAGGTACTGGGGGCCCCTGCCTCACTGTCTGAAGACAAGCTAAATGGAAATCTTTCAGCTAGAGTCCACAACCACTCATTCATGAAACTAAAAACATCTGTTCAAAACCTGTTGCTACATGCTGTGGAGTCTTTCCTCGCAGAGGGAAGCCAAAAGAACAGTGGTACTTACCACGGATTCAGCACTAGCTACTTTGATACTATTATTGACATCCCCATTTCACACAGGAGGAAAACGAGGCAGATGGAGGTTTACCCAACATCGCTCAGCTCATAAGTTGCCAAGCCAGCATTTCAGTCAGGCATTCTGACCTACAGGAGTTGCCTGCTCTAACATTAGGGAGTTTATATGCCTGCCAGACACCAGGCATTGTGGAGGGCTTTGTATAAGTCCTATCATTTACTTCTCCTAATAACCCTACCAAAGGGTGATATTTATTGCCACTTTAGAGATGCAGAAATTGAGGCTCCGGGAAGTACAGTACCTAGCCCCAGGATACATAGCCAGTGAGTGTCAGAGCTGGGCACTGAGCTCATTTCTGTCCAGCTCCTCTGCAGGAGGGAAGGAGCATGGGGACAGAAGAGGATTGAAGAGTCAACCTTAGAGAGAAAGGAGCCAGGGGGGAGGGAGAGGAAGGTGGGAGAACAAGATGTCCCCAGTGGATGAAGCCCAGCAGAGTTGACAGTAGAGGAGGTGTGAAGGATAAGGCCTGGAGGTGGCATCAGGATGGGAGACAACAGTTTTCTATGGGGAGTTGTGCTCAGAAGCCTGATTATAGGTGGGGCATGGTGGCTAATGTCTGTAATCCCAGCACGTTGGGAGGCCAAGGCAGGAGGATAGCTTGAGGCCAGGAGTTTGAACCTAGCCTCGGCAACATAACGAGACTCTGTCTCTACAAAAATAAAAAAAAAAATACCTAGGTGTGATGATGGTGTCTGCAGTCTCAGCTACTTGGGAGGCTGAGGTGGGAGGATCACTTGAGGAGTTAGAGGCTGTAGTGAGGTATGATGGTGCCACTGCACTCCAGCCTGGGAGACAGAGTAAGAATCTATCTCTAAAAATAAATAAATAGGGCGGGGCACAGTGGCTCACGCCTATAATCCAGCACTTTGGGAGGCCCAAGAGGTGGATCTCTTGAGGCTAGGTGTTCAAGACCAGCTTGGCCAACATGGTGAAACCACATCTCTACTAAAAATACAAAAATTAAGGCCAGGTGTGGTGGCTCACACCTGTAATCCCAGCACTTTGGGAGGCCGAGGAGGGCAGATCACCTGAGGTTGGGAGTTCGAGACCAGCCTGACCAACATGGAGAAACCCCGTCTCTACTAAAAATACAAAATTAGCCAGGTGTGGTGGCACATGCCTGTAATCCCAGCTACTCAGGAGGCTGAAGCAGGAGAATCGCTTGAATCTGGAAGGTGGAGGTTGCGGTGAGCTGAGATCATGCCATTGCACTCCAGCCTGGGCAACAAGAGTGAAATTCCGTCTCAAAAAAAAAAAAAAAAAAAAAAATTAGCCAGGTGTGGTCATACGCACCTGTAATCCCAGCTACTCAGGAGGCTGAGGCAGGAGAATCACTTGAGCCTAGGAGGCAGAGGTTGCAGTGAGCCCACTGCATTCCAGCCTGGGTGACAGAGCAAGACTCTTGTCTCCAATAAATGAATAAAATAAATAAATAGGCTGGGCTTGGTGGCTCATGCCTGTAATCCCAGCACTTTGGGAGGCCGAGGCGGGTGGATCACCTGAGGTCAGGAGTTCGAGACCAGCCTGGCCAACATGGAGAAACCCCCGTCTCTACTAAAAATACAAAAATTAGCCGGGCTTGGTGGTGTGCACCTGTAGTCCTAGCTACTCGGGAGGCTGAGGCAGGAGAATCGCTTGAACCCGGGAGGTGGAGGTTGCAGTGAGCCAAAATCACGCCACTGCACTCCAGCCTGGGTGACAGAGTGCGACTCTGTCTCCAGAAAAACAAATAAAATAAATTTAAAAAAAGCAAACACAAGAATTAAAAAAAAAAGAAGCTGATTGTAAAGCACCAACCAAGCGGTGAGCAGTCTATGAGATGTGGAGGTCCCAATGTCAAGCAATGATTGTTTCCGAAGGAAACATGAGAGGAAAGGGAGGACCCTTGAGAATGGGGAGACTCAAGCCTGTTTTTGACAAATGAGAAGGAGCCCAAACCAAAGCAGAAGCAGACTGTGTGTGAGTGCGTGTGTGCAGGGGAGGAGAGGGATACACAGATTATATCCAGAGCATGGAAGGGCTCTCCTTAAAGACAAGGAGCTCTCTTTTTCTAAGACCAGAAGAAAGTAGGAAAGGTGGGTAAATCTACAGAGATGTCCTTAGGCAGTAGAAGAGTGAAGTGATAGGGTGATTTGTAAAATAGGGACCCCCGTCTTTGTCCTTCTCACCTCCCCACTGTGCTGAGGTGAGTTTGAGTTTCTTAGGACTGCCATAACCAATGACCACAAACTGGGTGGCTTAAAACAAGAACCACTGACTCCACTGCAGTTGTTTTATTGGCTCACACTTCTCAAGGTCAGAAGTCTGAAATCCAGGTGTTGGAGGGTTGGTTTCTTCTGGATACTCTCAGGGAGAATCTGTGCTGGCGTCTCCCCTAGCTTCCGGTGGTGGCTGGCCATTCTTCACATTCCTTGGCTTGCAGCCGCATCACTTCTGTCTCTGATCCATCTTCACATGGCATTTTCTCTGTGTCTCTGCATCCAAATTTCCCTATTCTAATAAGAACAACAGTTATTGGATGAGGACCCGCCCTAATCCAGTATGACCTCATTTGAACTAGATTACATCTGCAAAGACCCTATTTCTAAATAAGTCACATTCACAGGTACTGGGAATTAGGACTAGAACATATCTTTTGGGGGAACACAATTCGACCCACTACAAGGGTGTGCCGCAGAAGGTATAAAATGCTGCAGAAGTACAAGGTCACACCAAGGTCACTGGCTAAAGGAATCCTAAAATTGGTCCGGGTGGTAACTAACATCTGTAATTCCAGAACTTTGGGAGACCGAGGCGGGAGGATAACTTGAGCCCAGGAGTTCAAGACCAGCCTGGGCAATGTGGCAAGACCCTGTGTCTACAAAATATTTAAAAAATTAGCCAGGTGTGGTGGCAAGCACCTATGATCCCAGCTACTCCTCGGGAGGCTGAGGCAGGATAGTTGCTTGAGCCCAAGAAATTGAGGCTGCAGTGAACTGTGTTTGCCCCACTGCAATCCAGCCTGGGCGACAGAGTGAGACTCTGTCTCAAAAAATAAGTTTTTTTTTCTTTTTTTTGAGACAGAGTCTTGCTCGGTCACCCAGCCTGGAGTGCAGTGGTGCAATTTCAGCTCACTGCAACCTCCACCTCCTGGGTTCAAGCAATTCTCATGCCTCAGCCTCCTGAACAGCTGGGATTACAGGCTTGCACCATCATGCCTGGCTAAATTTTTGTATTTTTGTTAGAGACGGGGTTTTACCACGTTGGCCAGGCTGGTCTCCAACTCCTGAGCTCAGGCAATCCGCCTACCTCAGCCTCCCAAAGTGCTGGGATTACAGGCGTGAGCCACTTTGCCTGGCCAAAAAATATGCTTCTAACCATAAGCCAGATTCGTCTCCAACTTTTCCTCTTTTCCCCTTCCTCCACTTTCACCTTCCTTCCTCCAACTAGCTTTCTAGTTAATCCAGCTAAGAACACAGGTGCCGGATGAAAGGTGCCTGAAAGGTGACTGCCTTGCAGATGATTTAAGCTCTGGGGTTGCCCTAAGGGAAGTGGCGGCCAGAAAGAACTATATCTCAGGAGCAGGACTGGGAGGGAAGAGCCAGGGAGCCTGTCTGGAACCCTGATACTGTGCAATGGCCAGCCTTCCACTCCTCTAAAACCTTGCTTAGCCATAGAGGGTCAGACTACGGGAGCAGGCAGGTATCTTTAAATAGTTCATTTCTGCCATATTGGGGTCCATCTGGAGGTCTTAAAGAACTTGTAACTCTATGGACCCCATTCCAGAAAAATATATAAATGTTCACAAAAAAGTTGAGATCATGTCAAAAGCTTCATTGACATCCTTGAGCTTATTCATGAAGCCAAGGCTAAGAACCCCTGATCTAATATTCTCCCTCCACCATTTTTCCTAAGGACAAAACAGATCAGCAAGGATTATTGGTTTGTTCCACCTTGTGCAGCTGCTTAGAGGGGAGTCCAAGTCCAAAGTGCAAATTCTGATACTCTTGTTCTTTCTACCATATAGTGAGTTCGTTTCCATAAATAAAAACGACTTCTCCCCTTGAAGAAGCAGACTAAGAAGACACTGCTTTTTGAGGGAAGGGAGGAGGCATGTGGCTGGGACTGGCAGTGTGGGTAGACAAAGTGCCTCTCACCCCCAGCGAGATCCACTCATTCCAACGTAGATATTTGAAATGGACCTGGGTTCCCACTCTACAGAGGAGCACTGCGGGATCACTGAGCGCAGTCAGAGTTCCAGCTTTGAAGGACCTTGTCCTGCAGTCAGGGAGGTAAGCAGTATGTGTCCACAAACGGCTGTCGTGGAAGAGAAGACATTCTTGGGCTTTAAGGGGGACTGCAGATCCTTTCCAAGTCATCAAAGGAAGCAAGGTAGTCCGCTGATTTGTCTCCCTCTGAGACATTTAGGGGGAGAGCGCCTCACTTGCCAGAAAGACCAAGGACTGCACCGCAGACACCCACCTTTCTTTTCCTCATCCGGCGACACATCCTTCCTCCTGCCAACATCCTAACTCCTTTACACTCTGGGGACCAGCTCTTCTCAAATGCTGGCGCGGGGAACAGCCTATTTACCGCAGTTGAGGCGATTTTACTGGGAAATTCTCTTAGGAGCTCCTTGGAGAGGGAAAGCCTCACGGATTCGGCGGAGGTCTTAATCTGGAGATGTCCAAATTTAGGGGAAACCCTCCCCACCATTTGTCTCCAGGCTGTATTTTGGAGTTCTCAGATTAGGACCCTCTGGACTGGGGGCAAGATTTGTATGAGGGGGTCTCCAGCAGCTTGTGGGCTGGCCGCGTGCCAGGCCTGACTCCGTGTCCCCCACCCCCGGCTGCGCCTGGGCCTCGGGGGACCGGGAACCAGCCGGCGCCGCGTCCCCGCCTAGCGGGCGGGCCGGGGACCCCTCCCCTCCGCCCGTCCCCTCCTCCCCTGCTGCCGCCTCCCGGAGGGACGGCCTGGGGAGGGGAGAGAGGAGGGACGGGCCGGCGGCGGCGGGGCTGTGGCCACGGGGGAGCGGGTGGCGGCCGCGGGGCCCCGGTGAGCCGGGCCGGGGTGCACGGGGGCCGAGGCGGCCTCCGAGCCGGGCCGGAGCTGTCGGGAGCCTGGGAAACACGGCCCAGGCGACTTTCTCCCGGGAGTTGTAGTCTTGCTCTGGGGGCGGCGCGCGGCCCGGCTTTCGGGGCGAGTTTTCTCGCGGGGCGGGCGGCGCGCGCGGAGGCTGAGGGGGAGGGGGAGCATGCCCGGCTGGAGCCCGGCCTCGGGGCGCGCCCCGGCCGCCGTCCCCACCTCCGCCTCCTCCTTCTCCTCCTCCGTCTCCTCCTCCTCCTCTTCCAGTCCCGCCGCCGCGGCAGCCAACATGGCTGCGCTCCGGAGCCCGGGAGGCGGCCGCTGCTGAGCGCCGCCCGCCGCCCCGGGCCCCCAGCCCGCCCAGGCCCCGGCCCATGGCTCCCGCCGCCTCACGGCTCCCGGCGCCCTAGGGCTGCTGCCGAGGTGCTCGCCTGCCCGCCCGCCGGCCTCGGGGGGCCCGGGAGGCGTCCGGCGGGGCGGGGCGGCGCGGCCCGCCACCATGGAGCCCCAGCGCCGGGAGCTGCTCGCCCAGTGTCAGCAGAGCCTGGCCCAGGCCATGACGGAGGTGGAAGCCGTGCTCGGGCTGCTCGAGGCCGCGGGAGCGCTCAGTCCCGGCGAGCGGCGGCAGCTGGACGAGGAGGCGGGAGGCGCCAAGGCGGAGCTGCTGCTCAAGCTGCTCTTGGCCAAGGAGCGGGACCACTTCCAGGACCTGCGGGCGGCGCTGGAGAAGACGCAGCCTCACCTGCTGCCCATTCTCTACCTGAACGGCGTCGTCGGGCCGCCGCAGCCCGCCGAAGGCGCGGGTGAGTGGCAGACCCTTGGCCCCCGCCTCTGGGACGCGCCCTCCGCTTCTCCCTCCTGCTGGCCGAGGGTACCTCGCCGGGGCCGCCGCTCCACCTGGCGATGGCCTCGGTGGACTCGCTCCTCTGGCCCAGTTGGGGAGGCGGCGGTGCGCGGATCCCGAAGTCCCGCCGCCTCCCCCAGTCCCGCCGTTCGCTGTGAACAATGCCCCCCGCTGAAGGCCTTCACTCTCAGGTGCCTCGACGACAGGGTCCCCGGGGGCCACCAGGTCCAGTAGCGGGTAGGGGGTACCTCGGAGGATGTCCATCAGTCCCTTTTCTGAGGCTCCTCACCGTCCGCTAGCTTTGGCACCCTGTGCTAGCCTTTAACCAAGGGTACCGTCCAGAAGAATGGGACTTGGGCCAGGACCCCTACTCTTAAGTTTTGGTCGCTGCCATCCTGTGCCGGGGCCACAACTGCTTTTTCATTTTCTGGCTGTCCCAGCTCCTTTTTCTCTGCTCAGAGCCCAGTCTCTCCCAGACTGGTGGCTGATTGTGCACAACGCCTGCCTGGGTTTCTTTGGAAACTGGGCCCGGAAAAGTTGGGGAAGTTGCATTGCACCATGGGAAAATCCTAGTAGTGGCTGCTGGGGCTAAGTTCTCTCCCTGAGAGCACAGAGCTGCTTAACGAGGAAGGCTGGTGACTGGTTCCCTTGAGGGTGCCTTTTGGAACCCCTGTGTCTTTGGTCTTGGGGATGACTGATTTGTAAGTGTGTGTCTGGGTGCAGGAACGGATACTGGCGGGAGTTTCTGACAAGTGGTAGGCTTGTCCTGGCCTGGCCGTGGAGTGTGGAAGCCAGCCTTTTTAGACAAGGCAGCTGGAGGAAGAAGACATGGCACTGAGGGAGGAGGAGAACTAGCATTTATTGGGCATCTACTGTTGTGGCAGGCGCTCTGCTTTATCACGTTCAGTTGTCGTTGCCACTATGTGAGCTTTCTGTTATTCTTTGCCAGAGAGAAAACTCTGGCTTGGAGTGGTTAAAATGCTCAGAAAGTATTGGGCACCAGGAATTTTGAATTATAACCTATTGTTTGATTTAACTTGTTCAGAGCCAGGAAACAAAGTGCCATCTTTCTAGGTCTTGTCCCTGTTTTAACAGTGAATCGATAGGTACAGTAAAAATAAATAAGGATATATGTATAAAAGAAAAACAAGTGAACCGAGAGGGCTGAGAAACTGCCCTTAGCAACCTGAAGGTCAAAGGCTGATGGGACCCATTTATTTGGCTGTTAAAAGCCCCACTTATTAAGGGAATGATTTTATAAGGCATTCCTGGTAACAGCTCTCTTACGTTGGCCATCTTAACCTCAATTTTTGTAGCTGCAGGAAACTGACAGAGAGACTAAATTGCTGGCCACACAGCAGGTCATTTCATTGGTGGCCCTCCCGTCTCCACTTTGAGCTTCTGACTTGCATCTCTGTCCCTCAAACCTGCATTCTTTCCCCCCAGTTGTGGTCATGTCAGAGTTACTGGGCAAACCTAGTCCTTTCCTGGGATAGTGCTTTGGGAGATGCTAGGAAGGGACTGTCAGATGTGGCCATGAGGATAAGGACAGAGGGGATCTCAACAAAGTAATTTTTTTCTTTTTAATTGTATCTATGTATCTATCTAATCTATCTCTGAATGAAGAAGTTAAGATCTGTTTCTGAAAGTCTTTCGTAAAGCACAGAACTTAGTACAGACTGGAAGTCTGCGTTGGGAAGCATGTGAATCAACGCTCGCCTTAATCTCTGAAAATTGATTGATGGATCAATTGCCATTAATTAGGTCTCACCCTTTCCGTGTCTGGTGGAGAATGTGGGGCCTCATGGGGCTGAAGTTCTAGGAGCTAGTCTTGACCTCTAAGGAAGGCAGAGATTAGGGTTTGGATTTTATCCCCTAGGGCATTGATTTCAGACCCCAGTTTTACCACAATGCAGAGTTATGTGACTTTGGAGAGGGTCATGAAATCCTTAGAAAAATACTTTTCAAGGAGAAGTTAAGTTCATTTTACTTAATGCATTAGAAAAACGCTGGTTGGGTGTGGTGGCTCATGCCTGTAATCCCAGCACTTTGGGAGGCCGAGGCGGGCAGATCTCTTAAGGCCAGGAGTTCGAGACCAGCCTGGCCAACATGGTGAAACCCCGTCTCTAATAAAAATACAAAAATTAACTGGGCGTGGTTGTGGGCGCCTGTAGTCCCAGCTACTTGGGAGGCTGAGGCAGGAGAATCACTTGAATCTGGGAAGTGGAGGTTACAGTGAGTTGACATGGTGCCCTTGGATTCCAGCCTAGGTGACAGAGCAAGACTCCTTCTCAAAAAAAAAGAAAGAAAAAAGTTAGGACAGCATTTGGTATGGCAAGATGCCACCTGAAGCCCCTGGGGAAGAGGGTGACATGGTGTGTCAGCAAACAGTGGCGTGTTGGGGGCTTTTGTTTTTTTGAGACAGGGTCTCACTGTGTCACCCAGGCTGGAGTGCAGTGGCACAATCTCGGCTCACTGCAGCCTCCGCCTCCTGGTCTCAAGCCATCCTCCTGCCTCAGCCCCGCAAGTAGCTGGGACCACAGGCACATGCCACCACACCAGCTAATTTTTGTATATTGTGTAGAGATGGCATTTCTCCATGTTGTCTAGGATGGTCTCGAACTCCTGAGCTCAAGCGATCTGCTTGCCTCAGCCTCCCAAAAGTGTTGGGATTACAGGCGTGAGCCACTGCCCCGGCGCAGGGGAGGCTCCTTTGTGAAGGGTAAATTGCTGTGTTGTAGGTCTCCACTTTTTTGCTTTTTTTTCTTTTAGCCAGGAAGTATTCCTTATGGTCAAAGCTCAGTGCATAAGAGAGCGGCTCTGGCTGAAGGAATGGAAGTCTTCTTCCTTGAGGAGCCATAGTCAGGAAAACCCAGCACTTGGTCCTGCCTCCTTCCACTCCTGAGTGATTTCCACTCTGTGCTCTGGGCAGCAGCTCTGGGTTTGAATTGGCCTCAGTTCGAGGCCATTGCGGAGCCTGAGAGAGGAACCAGCTGGCTCCCTGGGATCCTTAGCGTCAAGGGGTGGCTGCTTTGGCACCGATTCTCTGTTGGAGATGATGCCATCACCCACCTAGGAGCTTCCTTGATGGATTCCACACCCTGTGTGGGCTCCTGATCCAGAATGCCCATCCCCCACTGGCACTTGGGTGCTGAGGGAGTCTGCATCGGCAGCAGCCTACCACGTGGGGCCTGGAACTGGAAGGAAACTGGGGAGGACATGTGCCTGGGTGTTGGTGGGCAGGTGAGCAAACCCAACCCATCGGGGCAACTCTTGCTGAGTTAGATCCCCAGACATTTAAACCTACCACGCTCAGGCCTGGGGGTGTGGAGTGACTAGGAGACACACTGTGTTGTGGTTTTTTTGTTGGAGGTGTGGCTCTTATTCCGGTATTGATAGGGCATTGTCATTCAGGATTTTGTGTCCTATCTTCATATCTCATTAACTCTGTGGCAGCCCCAGGGAGATGAGTGGTGTCTTATGATCTTTGGTTCCAGGGCCCTGTCTGTAAGGAAGAAGTCGCAGGGCAGAAAGGTGCCTGAGTCAAGGCCAAGCCCAGTGCCCCTGATTCCTTGTCTGGGGTGGTTTTTCCTGTTCCCTGGTTAGGCCTTCCCACTACAATTTCAGGACATTTCCAGTCACTGTGGGACTCTGAAATTATGTAGCTTTCTTTTGTCCCGGATTTGATACATGGATCTGCGGGGAACAAGCGAACACCTTTGCCCCAGCTGGTGGTAGGGAGAAGACAGAATTGTTTACTTCTGAGTGGCTCAGTTGGGTCTCTTGTTTTTCCCAGTAACCAAGTCTAGCTTGGTCACTTGGAGCCCCATGCAGTCCTTTGTTTTTTCCCTTTGATTTGGGGAAACACCTGAGTTTTTTCCCTTGAGGATTCTCAACTCCCTGCCCCTGGGGTGAGCCTCAGTATCTTCATCTGTAAGATGGGGCTAATGGTGCTGCACTGCCTGCCTCTGTCACCGGGAGCATTGAAGTGCCTGGCCCAGGTGGGGCTGGGGTGTAGACAGGGGCCGGGGTGCACAGGATGTAATTCTAGTCCGTAGCTTGCCGCCTTGTTGGGGGAATGGGACGCTCATGAGAGTGACATTATGAGACAGGTCAACTGATAGAGATGCACAAACAGGCTTTTTCTTTTATAAAAAACTCGGTATGCTACACACTTTCCCCAGATACTCTCATTCACCTTTAGTGGCTCTCATTACCATCTAAATGTGGGACTCCTCAAGTCATTCCCACCAGGCCTCTATTGGGAGGCAGAAATGGCAGAACTTGGCTGGACCTCTCGCGTGCTCATTGCCTGATGTTTCCTTCTCGTTCCCACTCCCCACACCTCCTGTGCCTCCTCTTTACTTTCCTAGTGAACTGGCTGGCTTGCTTCATCAAACTTAAGAGAATGGAGCCAGCAGCGTCCGCTGGAGAAGCCGAGGAGAGCTTCACGAATGTGCTGGGACTTGGTGTTGAAGTGAAGCTCTGAATGCATGGAGCCATGGAGGGAGGACGTGTGGGCTGCGTAGGCTGGACCGCACAGGCTGAGCCATAGAGAGGAGCCATGTGTTTACCCAGCCTGAGCAGAGCAGGGGTTTGGCCTTGGCTCTGGGTGGAAGGGAATTGGGGATGCAGAGGTAATCTGGAGGACCTTAATGGCTAGGCTGAGTGGGAGGTTTGAATTTAGGCATTGTACACTGTCAGAAATTAGAGCTGGAAGTTTGTTTTTTTTCCCCAAGGGAATAACCCTGCCAGGCTTTTCTAGTGGGACTAATGCAGATGGGTGCTGATTGTCAGGTGTGGGTTATTTATTATTCAGCAGAGGTTGCCTGGCCTTTTGTTCTCTCTCCACTTCCTTCGGGTACCAGCCACCTTTTCTTCATCCCCTCTGCCCTGGAGGGTCAGCAGGGCAAGGGACATAAGTAAAAGCTCCAGCTGTTGTGGTTTTTCTTTTGGTTCTTTTGTTTGTTTATTTACTTATTTTTTAGAGACAGTGGAGTGCAGTGGTGCAATCATAGCTCACTGCAGCCTCAAACTCCTGGGCTCAAGCCATCCTCCTGCCTCAGCCTCCTTAGTAGCTAAGATTACAGGCGCATGCCACCCTGCATGGCTAATTTAGGTGGTTTTAATTGTGTTATTTAAGAGGAAGTGGCAGAGTCATTTGAAATTAATGGTTGAGAAGAGGTTTTTAAGTGAAGGGCAGATTTTATCTGTGTATCATTTCAGGGTACCTTTATTGCAAAATGACAGAAACTTAGCTCAGATCATCTTAGGTAGAAAAAGAGAAATGTATTGACTTAGAATATTCCACAACCTTTGGATGGATGGTGGAAACTGGCCTTTGGGACGTTTGACCTCTTGGATCGATGCTGTGGGCTTTTCCCACGGGTCTGAACATGACCTCAGGCCCCTCTGTTCAGGTTCACAGCCCCTGACCAGGGAAGAAAGGGAGCTCTATCCAATCAGCCCAGGCAGACAAACCTCATGGTAGGATTCTGATTGGTCTGGCCAGTGTTATGTGTCCACATGAGGCCCGGTCACTGTGGCCAGGGCTAGAGGACTAAGACTGGCTCAGCTTTGGCACTGTGCCCAGCAGTGGAACCCCAGGGTAAGGTGATGGGCTACTGTGATTGGCAGCCCATTCCAACACTATGTGGGTTTTTAGAGGGAGGCAGAGCAGTTGTCTAAAGGAAGACAAGCAGCAGCGATGTCACGCAGGTAAAAGAGCAGATGAATGTCCACTCCAAGCATTACCACCTTTGTGCGATAATACAGTTAGCACAGGCGGTCATTGCTGGAGTGGGATGGTGGGTCTAGGTAGTAATGATCAGACCTTACAAGGTTTTAGACCTTGAGCAAGGTTTTTAACCCTTCTGAGCTTATCTCCTCTACAAAGTAATTAAAACACTAACTACTTCACTGTGCTATTTGACAATCCATGGTAGGAAAAATGGAAGAGCATTTTGTTACCCTGAGTAATATAGCACAACAGTGGCAGTAGTAGACAGCAACTAGCCTTAGAACCAGAAAACTGGGAATCTCCTGGTGTTTCTGAGGGTTCTGTGGGAGCTCCTTGTATACTATGCCAAGCAGGTGTCAGAGCTGTCCTCCCTGAGCTGAATTTGCTGTTATAGTCCTCATGCCCAGAATAGAGCCTAGTACAAGATAGGTGTTCGATAATTTTTTGTTGAACGAATGAATAGTCAGCTGTGTGTAGAGTGAATGATGTATCCTTGTCCAGATCATCTTCAAATATACATGCAGATTCCTAAGTGGTGACCTCATGGTGGCAGAGGCTGTGGGAGAGGAGGAAGGCTTGAGCAAGCCCCAGATGTACACAGGGATATCACCGCCCACGGTATGTCTGTGATGGAAGCAGGTGGTGTGAC
The DNA here is from genome assembly GCF_000001405.40 of Homo sapiens. Classification (NCBI taxonomy): domain Eukaryota; kingdom Metazoa; phylum Chordata; class Mammalia; order Primates; family Hominidae; genus Homo; species Homo sapiens. Next base: position 77,919,786 of record NC_000010.11, on the reverse strand, counting down.
ATTGATGTCTGAAGTTCCCAAGGTTGCCCATCAGGTACTGGTGGTGTGGAGCTGGCTGCCAGGAGCCATGTGGAGCACCCACGCTGTCTAAGAGTAGAAAGTCATTCCCTTTCTACACATAGAATTTGAATGTCAACTTGATGTCCTCAAAAGAATACTGAGGAACTTTTCTTTAAAAAAAAAAAAAAAAAAAAAAAAAAAAGCCCTGAACTGGAGATCTGTTCCTAACTGCAAAATCTTGACCTTGGCAGAGCCTTTTAGCTTCCTGGTGCTTGTTTTTTTTTTTTCCCCCAGTTCAACAGTCAAAACAGAAGAGGTTGAGCATTGACGGGAGACTTGCTCATTCCTGTGGGGTTTTGAGCACTTCCCAGGTGGCATTTGGTCCAAGGAGGTTGGGTGATTGGGTTGGACTCGATTTTGGGGGCCCTTCCAGCTCTACATCAGGATTGCTGTTAATCTGATTTAATGTTAGTGTTGAGTGGTTTTTGATACTCTGGTTTTCCATTTCCTGAAAAAGTAAGCAGAGTAGGATAAATATTTTGTTTCAGTTTTTTTTTTGTTTGTTTGTTTTGAGATGGAGCCTTGCTCTGTCGCCCAGGCTGGAGTGCAGTGGTGCAATCTCAGCTTACTGCACCCTCTGCCTCCCAGGTTCAAGTGATTCTCTTGTCTCAGCCTTCCGAGTGGCTGGGATTACAGGTGTGTGCCATCACCCCCGGCTAATTTTTATATTTTTAGTAGAGACGGGATTTTGCCATCTTGGCCAGGCTGGTCTCGAATTCCTGACCTCAGGTGATCCGCCTACCTCAGCCTCCCAGAGTGCTGTGATTATAGGCATGAGCCACCACTCTCGGCCGTTGTCTCATTTTTTTTTGTCCCACCTCATTCCAACCACCTGTATGTTCTGCCCCATGCGAGGGGGCTCTATAGTCGTTTCCTGAAACCCTGGGAAGATGTGAGCCACAGAGGTAGCAAACATAGAGAAAGAGGGCTGAGCTGCGTGTTGGCCTGGACAGTAGGGATGCTATGTGTGTTCAGCAGGGAAGAATCTTAAATGGGATTGCGCTGGGGGGAAATTGGATTTTTTTTTCGCCTTTTACCTGGGATAGACTGCATTCCTCTGAACGGTGTATCTCTATTGATCTTTTTGAGACTGCGTTCCACAAAAGTGCTACAGAAACATTTTAAACCAAATAGAGATGTTTGGAGCGTCCCATGTTGGCAGTCTATCCCTCTAAACCCTTGGTAGATAATTCCTGTTGACCTTGACGTTCATTTCACACTAAGGCTCATAACCCATTTGCTTTGAGGATTTAAACAAAATTGTGATAATAATTTACATAACATGAAATTTACCATTTGAACCTTTTTTTTTTTTGATACAGAGTCTCACTCTGTCACCTAGGCTGGAGTGCAATGGTGCGATCTCGGCTCATGCAACCTTCGCCTCCCCAGTTGCAGCAATTCTCCTCCTTCAGCCTCCCAAGTAGCTGGGACTACAGGCATGTGCCACCACACCTGGCTAATTTTTTTGTATTTTTAGTAGAGACAAGGTTTCCCCATGTTGGCCAGGCTGGTCTTGAACTCCTGACCTCAAATGGTCCGCCCACCTTGGCCTCTCAAAGTGCTGGGATTACAGGCGTGAGCCACCGCACCCGGCCTTGAACCATTTTTTATTGTGGAAAAATATATATAACATTTACTATTTTAATAACTTTTTAAGTGTACAAATTCAGTAGCATTAAGTTTTTTGTTTTTTGTTTTTTTTTTTGAGACAGAGTTTTGCTCTTGTTGCCCAGGCTGGAGTACAATGGCATGATCTCGGCTCACCACAACCTCCGCCTCCTGGGTTCTCCTGCCTCAGTCTCCCGGGTAGCTGAGATTACAGGTGCCCACCACCACGCCTGGCTAATTTTTGTATTTTTAGTAGAGACGGGGTTTCACCACGTTGGCCAGGCTGGTCTCGAACTCCGTACCTCAGGTGATCCACCCGCCTCGGCCTCCCAAAGTGCTGGGATTACAGGCGTGAGCCACTGCGCCCAGCCAGCATTAAGTATTTGTACACTGCTGTGCAAACATCAGCACCATCCATCTCTAGAAATTTTTCATCTTGCAAAATCGAAACTCTGTACCTATTGAATAATAACTACATGGCCCCCTAGACCTTGACAGTCACCATTATATGAATATTTCCTGTCTGTCTCTTTTTTTCTTTCTTTCTTTCTTGCTGTCTTTCTCTCTCTCTCTTTCTTCTTTTTTTTTTTTTGGAGATGGAGTCTCACTCTGTTGCTCAGGCTGGAATGCATGGAGTGCGGTGGTACTCATGGCTCACTGCAGCTTCAACCTCCCATGCTCAATTGATCCTCCCACCTCAGCCTCCCGAGTAGCAGGGACTATAGGCACATGCCACCACACCCAGCTCCTTTTTTTGTTTGTTTGTTTTTTTTTGAGATGGAGTCTCGTTCTCTTGCCCAGGCTGCAGTGCAGTGGCGCGATCTCGGCTCACTGCAAGCTCTGCCTCCCGGGTTCACGCCATTCTCCCACCTCAGCCTCCTGAGTAGCTGGGACTACAGGCGCCCGCCACCATGCCCGACTGATTTTTTGTTTTTGTATTTTTTTAAGAGACGGGGCTTTGCCATGTTGCCCAGGCTGGTCTTGAACTCCTGGATTCAAGCGATCTGGCCGCCTTGGCCTCTCAAGTTGTCCGTTTCTAGGAATTTGACTACTTTAGGTATCTTTTATAAGTGAAGTCAATACAGATTTGTCTTTTTGTGACTGGCTTACTTCTCTAAGCATAAAGTCCTCAAGGTTCATCCATATTTTAGTATATGTCAAAATTCCTTTTTTAGGCCGAATAATATTCATATATATATATATATATATATTCTATATTTTATTTGTTTCTTTACCTGTTGATGGACACATTTGGGTTGTTTTCACCTTTTAGCCATTGTGAATAATGCTGCTATGACACCATGGGTGTACAAATATCTCTTCGAGTCCCTGCTTTCTCTTCTTTTGGGTTTATACCCAGAAGTGAACTTGCTGGGTCATATGGTAATTCTGTGTTCAATTTTTTGAGAAGGTACCATACTGTTTACTCTGAGTTTTAATTAAGGAAATCCATACTGTTCACAGCACCCTGACATGGGGGTGGATAGCATTTTCTTTCCTTTTTTTCTTCTAAAAATTGTTTTTGGCCGGGCGTGGTGGCTCATGCCTGTAATCCCAGCATTTTGGGAGGCTGAGGCGGGTGGATCATCTGAGGCTAGGAGTTCGAGACTAGCTGGCCAACATGATGAAACCCCATCTCTACTAAAAATACAAAAATTTAGCCGGGCGTGGTGGTTGTGTGCCTGTAATCCCAGCTACTTGGGAGGCTGAGGCAGGAGAAGTGCTTGAACCCATGAGGCAGAGGCTGCAGTTAGCTGAGATCGTGCCATTTCACTCCAGCCTGGGCAACAAGAGCGAAACTCTGTCTTACAAAAAAAAAAATTTTTTTTCTTCCTTCAGATATGGTTTGGAAAGTCTTAGGACAGTTCAGTAGTTATCTGTGACTCTTTTCTTTTTTGAGACAGGGTCTTGCTCTGTTGTTTGGGCTGAGTGCAGTGGCATGATCATGGCTTACTGTGGCCTCAACCTCCTGGGCTCAAGCAATCCTCCTGCCTCAGCCTCCTGAGTAGTTGGTACTACAGGCGTGTGCCACCATGCCCAGCTAATTTTTTTTTTATTTTTAGTAGAGACAAGGTCTCACTATATTGCCCAGGCTGGTCTCGAACTCCTGGCCTCAAACAATCCATTATTGAATAAGCCACCACACCTGTCCTACATGTGACTCTTTGGAGGCCAGACATTAACCAAACAATCCTAGTGGCATTCATATCTGGCAGCCAAGGAATGTTCACACATTTTCTTTGTGTTTTCAGTACTTACATCTTCATCCCTAAAGGCCTTGAAGCATGTTCGTTATTTTTGCTCTTTGGATACTTCCTCCTTATCCCGTTTAGGATTGGTTTGGTTTTTCAGTCTCAAATCCGGGATAACAAGGCTATTGAGACTTTCTTTCAAAAGGCCTAGATCAGCATTTCCCAAAGAAACATCTTCTAACTGCTAGTTTGCTGGGATGTTAGTGTTGCTATGCCCTAAAAGGGTTCTGTGGTCAAATGCATCCAGGCAGTGCTAGGTTCTTTTCTGCAGGCCCCTTGAGAGGGCTAAGCCAGTGTGCTTTGGGGCTTCACTAGAGTGGCTTTATTAGGCAGTGTTTCCCAAACTGATTTAACCACAGAGTCCTTTATCATGGAGCATCTTGCGACATCAGTGTTCTGAGGAATGCATTTTTGGGAAATTAAAACATTAATGTGTGAAACTGGAGCATCAACGTATACCATCATTTTTTTACGTTTCCCCTAGCCCTCTCATTCAGAGTACCAAAACACTAAACGTTCCTATTTTTTTTTTTTTTTGAAACGGCATCTCACTCTGTCGCTCAGGCTGGAGTGCAGTGGTGCAATCTTGGTTCACTGCAACCTTCGTCCCCCGGGTTCAAGCAATTCTCCTGCCTCAGCCTACCAAGTAGCTGGGATTACAGGTGCCTGCCACTGCGCCCAGCTAATTTTTGTATTTTTAGTAGAGATGGGGTTTCACTCTCTTGGCCAGGCTGGTCTTGAACTCCTGACCTCGTGATCCACCTACCTTAGCCTCCCAAAGTGCTGGGATTACAGGTGCAAGCCACCGTGCCCAGCCCCTAGTCTTTTAAATTCTGATACCAGCTGAAATAGTCACATGTGATTCTGGGGCTAGTAGTCATTATTTTATAGATGTGTGTCTTCTCTGGTCCTGTTTCCCCTATGGAGTTCGCCAAGAATGAAGCCTGGTTTTGTGATCATTATTCTTTGAATTGCTCTAGAGACTAGAAATGAGTGAAGAGAACTGGGCTTTGGGCCACAGTTGGGGTTTCTGGGAGAGCCTTGGAAAGATTTGTGGAGAGCCATCCTGGTGGTTTGGCGGCTGCAGGTCTGGGACTGGTTAAGTTTTGGGCAACTCTTTGCTGAGCCCCTGGGAGGTTCTGGGCTAGGAGGTGGGGAAGGTGGTCTCTGCTTTCAGAGTGTTATGTTACTCCTGGGAGGAGAAGGACATGGATGAATGACCCAGGGGGCATTCTTGGTGGGTTTGGAGCCAGGGAGCAAGGCTGCGGGACTGGAGACATCTGAATGTCATGAGTCCACTCTTGGGGACCCCCACAGACTGGGGCTTAAATCTTAGCTCTTTACTCCTAAGCTGTGTGACTTCAAGTCGCTTAACCTCCTGGGCCTGCTTTCTCTTCCCCATCTGTAGAAGAGGGGCTAATAATATTCACCCAGGGCTTTGGTGAGGGTGGAGATGATTTAGGTGAGACAGGAGCAAGCTGCTGCTGCCGCCTCTGGAGCTACTGGGGGTAGCTTGTCCCTGAGTAGAGAACAAGCTCCCAGCCTGTGCATGGAATCAGGAGGCATCCCAGGGCATAGGCCATACTTGGAGTTCAAATGGGAGATGCCCAAGGCAGAGGCCTGCAGTGGACGAGGAGGCCCATGCTTCTCTGGGCTGCTCAAAAGACACCTTCACAATTCTTTGGTCCTGAAGCCCACATTTTTAAGGAGGGCATTGCTGTGACCTGTGAGTTCAGTTCCAAAAGGACCTTGAAGAGCTTGTTTTTGAGGAAAGGATACTTAGAGGGACTTAGATGCTGCTCATTTTCAGATGGTGCAGGGTATGTGATAAGACCTGATTCTCTTTGATCCCAGAAAGCTGAACATGGTCTGATTGCCAGAAGGTACTTGGAGGTAGAATTGAGTTCATTTTAAGGAAGAACCATTCTCCCTCCCTGTCTTTCTTCCTTTTAAAATTCTATTAAAGACTTTCAAGAGCCAGGCATGGTGGCTTATACCTGTAATCCCAGCGCTTTAGGAGGTCGAGACAGGAGGATTCCTTGAGCCCAGGAGTTTGAGACCAGCCTGGGCAACACGGCAAAACCCCATGTCTACAAAAATAAAAAAAAATTAGCTGAGCAAGGGGACACTGCCTGTATCCCCAGCTATTCGGGAGGCTGAGGCGGGAGGATTGGTTGAGCCCAAGAGTTTGAGGTTGCAGTGAGCTCTGAGTGTACCACTGCACTCCAGCCTGGGAGACAGAGCCAGACCCCAGCTCTAAAAAAGTAAAAAATGAAAAAGACATTCACACATGTGGAAGAACAGAGAGGATAATGTAACAATCACCCATCTCTCCCAACCAAATCCCAGGCAGCATGTCATTTTTCTTATAAATACTTAAAGATGTGTCTCTAAGAGATGAGGCATTAATAATAATTTCTTAATGTTATCAAGTTGCCCGGGTGATGCTCAGTTTTGCTTGTCTCAAAGATGTCATTTTATTGGTGGCTTATTAAAATCAGGATTTTAGCAAGGGCCACCCACTGCATTTAGTTGATGTTGTCTCTGAAGTCTGTTTTATAATCCCTGGCAGCTCCCCTTGCCCAGGCCGGTTGTTTCAGGAAGAACTTTTAAAAATGATTGGTGCTATCCAGCTCTGGAGTGGACTGTTCTAGGTGGCGACTTGCAATCCTGAAACTGTTTAGCCATGGTTTCCTCAGAGGGCTGATGCAAACAATTAAATGAAATAACACGTACAAAGTGTAAATGTCTTTTATGACTTAAGTTTTTTATTTTTATTTTTTTTAGCCATGAGGTCTTTTTTGTTAACTGCACTCTTAGGTGAGAGCCAGATCTGTAAATTAGACGAGAGAGGCACTGATGGGGAGTATGGGCTTGGAGCTTGTCCCTTGAGCTTGTGGCCTTCTTGAGGCTCCTCCACAGGTTTCCCTGGGGTTCTCCACAGTTCACAGAACCCAGTTTGAAAACCACTGGTCTGCTTGCTTTTGGTTTAAGATGCTCCCCATGTGGGAGAGGGAAGCACCACCTGAAAGCCTCACCTTGCTTTGCGTGAGCTGAGCTGGGGTGGTGAGCCACTGCTGGAGCCAGAGGCTGCAGATGGTGTTTTCACTGGGTACTCTTGTCTTCACCTGCTTCCTTTGTAGGTTTCCTCTTGGGATGAACTGTGCTTTTAAAAAAGACACATAGCCACTTTGTGGCGAGTAAAAACCACTCTCTGTTAACCAGGACAGTGATGTGGGGAGGAGCAGAGTGAAAATCCCATCAGAAGGTCAATTGCAGTGAGCAGTGGTTACTTTTTTTTTTTGAAAAATTATTCTTGTGGGCATGCTGGCATGTTCCTGTAGTCCTAGCTACTTGGGAGGCTGAGGAGGGAGGATCGCTTGAGCCCAAGAGTTCTGGGCTGTAGTGTGCTATGCTAATCAGGTGGCCAGTTTGGCATCAATATGGTGACCCTGGGAGCAGGAGACCACCAGGTTGCCTAAGGAGGTCAGAAATGGAGCAGGTTAAAACTCTCATGCTGATCAGTGGTGGGGTCATGCCTGTGAATAGCTACTGCACTCCAACCTGGGCAACATAGTGAGACCCTACCCCATCTCTATAAATAAATTGATAGATAGATATAAATAGAAAAATTAACCTTTTTTTTTTTTTTTTTTTAAAGAGACAGGGTCTTACCCTGTTGCCCATGCTGTCATGATTGATGGCATGATCCTAGCTCAATGTAATCTTGAACTCCTGGGCTCAGGCGATCCTCCTGCCTCAGCCTCCCTGAGTAGCTAGGACAACAGGTACCCACCATCATGCTGAGCTAATTAAAAAAAAAAATTCATAGAGATGGGGTCTCGCTGTGTTGCCCAGGCTGGTCTTGAACTCCTGGCCTTAAGTGATCCTCCCTCCTCAGCCTCCCAAAGTGTTGGGATCACAGGCATGAGTTGCCACACCCAGCCTGTTTTTTTTTTTTTTTAAGAAAATGTTATCACTTGTTTGCCTTACCCCTCTATTGCATAAGAGAACTGTTCGTTTTTATGCGTAAACAAGCTCCTGCTAACATGCAGCCTGCCGTGGGGGCTGCAGGGCTGCCCGTGTGGAAAGCGGTGCCATTAGAGATGGCCATCTCTGACTCAGAGCTGCTGCCCTGGTGGCCACCTCAAGCCAGGGTGTGTTTTCCCTGCCAACAGGATTTTTATAGATGTGGCATGCCTCTCAAACCTCTTCTTCAGAGTCCACCCCAGTTTGCTTGTCTGAATGGTACCTCCCTGGCTCTAAGATGACCCCTGAGTCCCCAAATTAAATCTGCACATATTTGACCATTGCCAATCTGCTATCCAAATGTAGTAAAGATCTTTCCAGCCAATATTGAGGAAGGTGATAGCAAAACAAAGGAAACAAAATCTAATTCTATTTACATATTTTAACGTAAGAAGTAATACTTTAAAATACTTTAATTCTGGCTAGGTGTGGTAGCTTACACCTGTAATTCCAGCACTTTGGGAGGCAGGCGGATTGCTTGAGCCCAGGAGTTCGAGACCAGCCTGAGCAACATAGGGAGACCCCATCTGTACAAAAAATACAAAAATTAGCTGTGGCGCATGCCTGTGGTCCCAGTTGCTTGGGAGACTGAGGTGGGAGGATCCCTTGAACCTGACAGGTAGAGGTTGCATGAGCTGAGATTGGGCCAGTGCACTCCAACCTGGGTGGACAGTAAGACCCTGTCTCAATCAATCAATCAATCAATAAAACACTTTAATTCTTAAAAAAAATATATAGTGGCCTTTTCAGTATTCATGGTAACCTCTATTCTCATTCCAAGTAACCTTTCTTCTCATCTGACCAGAACTTCTTTTCCTGTTTATGTTTTTTTTTTTTTTTTTTTTTTCCTTCAGACAGAATCTCGCTCTGTCACACAGGCTGCACTCCAGACTAGAGTGCAGTGGTGCAGTCTCAGCTCACTGCAACCTCTGACTTCCAGGTTCAAGAGATTCTTGTGTCTCAGCCTCCCCAGTAGCTGGGATTACAGGCGTGTGCCATCACACCCAGGTAATTTTTGGTATTTTTAGTAGAGACGGCGTTTTATCATGTTGGTCGGGCTGATCTCAAACTCTGACTTCAGGTGATCCACCTGCCTTGGCCCCCCAAAGTGCTGGGATTACAGATGTGAACCACGACGCCCGGCCTACATTTCTTAAGGAGCCTATGATTGTTGAATGCCATGGCTGGAAGGGATCTTAGAAACCACTTTGCCCAAACTCCTTATTTTACAAATGAGAAACAGGTCTCTTCCCAGGCTGGGGTTCCTTCCAAGACTTCTTTACCAGGAGCAGGCTGGGTGGGAAGTCTCAGATCCGTGGCTAGTTTTTCCTGACATTCTCCTGGCTTTGTGGGCACCAGCCTTTACAGTGAGGGTGAGCAAGTGACACAGCATCCCAGTTTCTGGACTTGAGCTACAGCCTTTAATTCCTGATCAATGAAAAAAATCTTTTATCAGCCTCTGCAATTGATATTTATCTTTTACAGATGGGCACACTCGGCCAGTAGAGTTTGGTAGCCTGCTCAGGGCCATCAGCTGCTGAGAGGCTAGGCAAGCCCTGGAGTCCTTGTCAGTTTTTTGATAATGACTACCTTTACTCGGTACTGCAGGCCACCCTGTGACCATTTCTGTGGTCTGAGCCTTGCCTACCTCTCCACCTCTCTTCGTCACAGCATTCGTCCATTCATTCAGCAGATGTGTTCTGAGCATCTGTCACACTGGGGGCTTTCTGGATGTAGACGTAGGACGTGATATCTAAATTGAGTGCTGAGTCGGGGAATGGGTCTGATGCTGGCAGGGAGACCCATGACTCCTTTTTGTGACACAGCAGAAACTCTGGGTGCTGGCTGCCGTGGCTTCTTCTTGCTTAGTCACAGGGCAGAGTTCAGGCAGGAAAATGAGGCCACCGGGCCTCTTGTCCCAGGGAAAAAAGCCTTTTATAAAGATAAGAGGATAAGGCCCCGTGGACACTGAGTTGGGACCCACCCTGATAGCCAATCTCAGTAGGAGCTGGATCCAAGAAAAAGCAGGAAAGTAAACAAAACCAAAATGTGCTGGTTTTGAGTCCTTCTCCTGAAAAAAACGGAGCTAAACCCATGGCGGTTTAGAGTTTAGGGGCTGTGGGTGTGAGTATATATGCGCCTATGTATCCCCCCACTCATTTTTGCTAGAAAATGGCAAACCACCTTTCTGTATCTTGTTGCATTTCCCCCGATTTTGTGAGCCCAGGGAGAGAGAACAAAACGGTGACCAGCTGTCCTTGTTTCTGTGGGAAGTTGTGAAATTTCATGTAGTCTTGATCTTTTGTCCTCAGCCACCCTCATTTTTTTTTTAATACCTTTAAGTTCTGGGGTACATGTGCAGAACACGCAGGCTTGTTACATAGGTATACACGTGCCATGGTGGTTTGCTGCACCCATCAACCCGTCATCTACATTAGGTATTTCTTCTGTTGCTATCCCTCTCCTAGACCCCCACCCCTGACAGGCCCTGGTGTGTGATGTTCCCCTCCTTGTGTCCATGTGTTCTCATTGTTCAACTCTCACTTAGGAGTGAGAACATGCAGTATTTGGTTTTCTGTAACCTCCCTCATCTTCAGGCTTCTCATGAGAACTCAGTGGAGCTGGTCACAGTGTCTTCTCCTTGCATGAGATAACACAAGCTTTAGGGTGGAGCCCAGATTCTGACAAGAGTTTATCTGTCTATCTCTCCAGCAAGTACCTGGTCACTACTCTTTACCAGGCTCGGCTAAGTGCTGAGCATGCAAAGATGGAAAGATATCTACCATGAACAATATTCCAACCTGGATTCGTTCTTTTAGCTGGAACATATATATCCTGCTGTTGTGTTTCAAAGGTTTTCCTTTTTAATTGCTCTATTGTGGAGCTTTTAGAAATACCAGAAAATAATCAGCCTAGCTTATACTGACTTCCTCCTTCTCACCTTCCATTTTGTGCTTTATAGCACATGGCAAGTGTTTTTGTGTCTAAAAATCCATCAGATTCTCAGAAGGGCAACAAAGAAGATGGCTTCTCTCCCCCCACCCCCCAGGAGTTTATTGTCTTGTTGGAAAACTTGAACAAGTGGGTATCTAGTAGTACAGATAGTGCCAGACAGGTGAGGCTGCTTGAAGTTTCAGTGCCTAAGGAAGGAGGGTGTATGGTGAGCTGGGCATAGGCAGGCGGCTGGAAGGAGGGAGGTAGACCTGGCGAGGGGAGAGCACAGAGCAGGACTTGGGAGAGAATCCATTCTGTGACTGGCGGGTTTGTCTGGTAATTCAGGGCTTCTGATTGGAGCATTCGCTCAGCAGGTGCTGGAAAAATGAGGCCAGGCCAACCAGCCTCTGCTGTCCTTCCAGTCATTCTCTCTGGGCTGGTTCTCTTGTGAGGCTGCTGGGGCTGGAGAGGGGAATGGGTTGGGTTGGCATTGGGTGGGAGGCTGATGGGTGGTCTGTGATGTGTGAAGGAGGACCCGGTGGCCGCAGGTGGGTAGGTGAGGATGTAGACTGGCTGGCCTTCCCAGGATCCCCTGAGGTGTCTGACTGGCTGTCTGTGAGTTGCTAGGAGGATTGGAAAGCCAGCGTTCTCCCCAGTTTCAACTCTGAGAGTTACAGTGGGGATGTTTGGAAATAGAGTTGGTGTGTCCTCTGGGGAGTGTGGGACATGTTCCTGTGTTGTGGCTGTCTCTTTGGGGAGGAGAAGAGCATGGCTAAGGAGAGAGGGGGCTGAGGGTACCTCTGCTTTCCAGGCCTCATGTCCTCACCTCTGCAGTGGGATCCGTGACTCCCTCGCCCTCTTGTGGCTTGTGTGAAAGGTAGGTGGCTGCTGCAGGTTCATGGCCACACATGGGTGGTTGTATGCTGTGTAGGTGGTAGGTGTTGTGTTGCATAGGATACTTTATTATTTTTGTATTTATTTTCTCATTTGATCTCACCAGCAACCTTTTAGGGGTCCTTACCTGACCTTACAAGTGAGGAAACAGGTAAGGAAGGCCGGGTTACTCAGGAGTCAGTTTAGGAGAGTAATTAAGAGCCTGTACCTGAGCCAAGATACTGGGTTTGAATCCTGAATCTGCCACTTACCGTGACCATGGCCAAATTGCTTTCTCTCTCTGTGCCTTGGTTTCCTCATCTGTGGAATGGGGATAATAACAGGACCTTGTATTGTGAGGGTTAAATAAGTTAGTAAGTGTTGACAGCAGTGTGTGGCACATGGTAAGTACTGTGTAAGCGTAAGCTGCTATATTTATGTGTGTATTTGAGACAGGGTATAACTCTGTTGCCCAGGCTGGAGTGCAGTGGCATGATCTCAGCTCATGGCCACCTCCACCTCACAGGCTCAATTGATTATCCTACCTTAGCCTCCTGAGTAGCTGCAACTATAGGTGCATGCCACTGTGCCTGGCTACTTTTTGTATTTTTTATAGAGACAGGGTTTCACCATGTTGCTCAGGCTGGTCTTGAACTTCTGGGCTAAAGTGATCTGCCTGCCTTGGCCTCCCAAAGTGCTGAGATAACAGGCATGAGTCACCGCGCCGGCCCAGTTATTTTCATTCTTATGATTGTCCCAGTTCCATGGCTGTTTAAGTGGCATAGGGGGGCAGGAGCCCAGCCATGACATCCAGGGCGGGTTGGTTGGTTTGTTTCTCCCTACTCTACCCCCAACTCAGGGTGTGGTCTACAGACCAGTGCTGGTTTGCAATCTTCTGGTTCCTGGTCTGTGATGAAGTAAGCAAGCACAGAGATTGAGTGTTTAGCAACCTTTAGAGCAACTTGACCTTGCTAGTACTCATTGAACAGGTATAGACTGCTTCAGTGTTGTCAGATCACGTGGTGAGTGGTGTGTAGTGTGAGCTGCAGGTAAGTCATCAATAGAAGGATGATGTGATTGCAAATAAAAAAGTGGAGCTCTGGGCCAGGCGCGGTGGCTCATACCTGTAATCCCAGCACTCTGGGAGCCTGAGTCAGGTGGATCACCTGAGGTCGGGAGTTCAAGGCCAACCTGGCCAACATAGTGAAACCCCATGTCTACTGAAAAATATAAAAATTAGCTGGGCATGGTGGTACGTGCCTGTACTTCCAGCTGCTCGGGAGGCTGAGATAGGAGAGTCGCTTGAACTGGGGAGGTGGATGGTGGAGTGAGCCAAGATTGTGCCACTGCACTCCAGCCTGGGCAACAGAGTGAGACTCCATCTCAGGAAAAAAAAAAAAAAAAAAAAAAGTGGAGCGCAGCACTGTTGCTGCCCATCCTGAACAGTCGACCTCCTTGGGAGGAGCCTCAGCCAGTGGGAGAAGGTGGGATTGATGGCATTTTGTAGGCCAGTGCATGACATTTGTGTTCCAGAAGTCCCTGACGATTCAAGAAAGTGAGGCCTCACAGTGGAGACTTATCAATGAGCAGTTGTTTCCATTTCACACCAGTGATGCTTACGGTACAAGTGCTTTTCCTGCCATTCCCTTAGCAGGTACGGTTCAGTCAGGTTTGGTAAGAATCCATACTGGAACACAACCTTGAGCTCGATCCTGTTTCACCTCTTAGACTGGTGGGAACTAGAAAGCTGGATGCTGCCTATCAGCAGTGGGTGTGGGGATGCAGGAACTCTTGCCTTTGCAGTTGCAGCTGTCCTGGAGCCTCTGGCAGGGTACCAGCAAAGCCCTGACCCAGAAGCCCCTCCCATGGGTGTCAGTTCCCCAGGTTCTCATGCAGGTCCTAAGGGGAAGGTCCAGGGTGTTCACTGCAGTGTTGTTTGTGGTGGTGAGGTAGAGCTGGATGTCCATTCCTGCAGAGCAAATGGGTATAATGGGTGGGTATGAGTCTGTAGTCCCTTGCAGCAATTCCAAGTGACTGGTGAGAAGCACACGTGGCAGGCAGCATGATGTATTTAAATGCACAGTGCTCAGTGAAAACATAAGAAATAGAGCATGGATGGTGCAGTGCTATTATGTAGATTGCTGATATAGAACAATACCCATCTTGCAAGAATATGAACAGATTAACACAAGAGAATGGTTGACTGTGGGTGAGGGGAGGGAAATGGGAATAAAAGGAAATAAATAAGACGAGAGAGAGAAGAGGAAATAAATACATCTCTTTCCCATCCTAGTGCTGTCTTTGAGGGGAGGGTCTTGGCTGTGCTCCATCACTCAACTCTGTGGCACCTTGTGCCTTGGCTGAGCTGGCAACCTCAGGCAGGTCGTTCACCCAGAAATGGTCTTGGTAAAGAGTTACCCATGCTGTTACATAGCTGTTAAGGTCACCAGGTGGGGAGGGACAACTTCAGGTCATGTGATAGTTGACACAGCAGGGACAAGGGTGTTTTTAACGTAGGGACAAGGATGATTAGCTAGGTGATTGTGGAAGGAAGAGGTGCGCAAACACTTGATTTAAAGATGGCATTGTGAATATGCATCAGCAGTGCTTGTAAAAACCCATATTCTCATCTTGGCCATAGTGGAAAAAGTATGAATGGTCTAGGAAAACAACCACTCCATTCCACGTGTTTATTGAGCTTGTGATACTACATAAGACAGGAAGATGGGCTGGATGAGGTGACTCATGCCTGTAATCCCAGCACTTTTGGAGGCCGAGGTGGGAGGATCGATTGAGCCCAGGAGTTTGAGACCAGCCCGGGCAACACAGTGACAACTCATCTCTATGAAAATATTTTTAAAAATGACAAGGAGCCAGGAGAGTTTTTTTTTTTTTTTTGAGATGAAGTCTCGCTCTTGTCGCCCAGGCTAGAGTGCAGTGGCGCGATCTCGGCTCACTGCAACTTCTGCCTCCCGGGTTCAAGTGATTCTCCTTCCTCAGCCTCCCGAGTAGCTGGGATTACAGGCACCTGCCACCACACCCGGCTAATTTTTGTATTTTTAGTAGAGATGGGGTTTCACCATGTTGGTCAGGCTGGTCTCAAACTCCTGACCTCAGGCAATCCACCCGCCTCAGCCTCTCAAAGTGTTGGGATTACAGGCCTGAGCCACCGCGCCCGGCCGGAGCCAGGAGATTTTACCTTCAGGAAAGTAAAACTCTGCTCAGGATTAGGAGCAACATGTTTTTGTTTTTTTTTTTATTTGGAAGAACAGGATGTTTAATTTGACTTACAGTTCCACATGGCTGGGAGGTCTCATAATCATGGCAGAGGGCAAAAGGCACTGCTTACAATGTGGCAGCAAGAAAGAATGAGGAAGAAGCAAAGGCGGAAACCCCTGATAAACCCATCAGATCTCCCGAGACTTACTATCACAAGAATAGCATGGGAAAGACCGGCCCTTATGATTCAGTTACCTCCCCGTAAGTCCCTCCCACAACACGTGAGAATTCTGGGACATATAATTCAGTTGAGATTTGAATAGGGACACAGCCAAATCATTATCATTCCACCCCTGGCCCCTCCAAATCTCAGGTCCTCACATTTCAAAACCAATCATGCCCTCCCAACAGTCCCCCAAAGTCTTAACTCATTTCAGAATTAATCCAAAAGTCCACAGTCCAAAGTCTCATCTGAGACAAGGCAAGTCCCTTCCGCCTATGAACAGTTCCACATGGCTGGGGAGGTCTCATAATCGTGGTGGAGGGCAAAAGGCACTTCTAACATGGTGGCAGCAAGACAGAATGAGAGGAGCAACATGTTCTTTTTCCTTTTGTTGAGATGGGGGTTTTGCCATGTTGCCCAGGCTGAAGTGCAGTGGCCATTCATAGGCGTGATCATTGTGCACTACAGCCTCAAACTCTTGGACTCAAGTTATCCTCCCACTGATCCTCCCACTGCAGCCTCCTGAGTAGCTGAGATACAGGTGCACACCACCACACTTGACTTAGAGCAGCCTTTTAATTGCCAGAAACCACTGTTAAGGAATTGCGAGAGCTCTTGTTTTCTGGGAATATTCAAGTAGAACCTCAGCCATGTCAGGGAAGGAGTTCTATCACCTTCATGGTGTATGTAGATGCCATCTGCAGTCCTTCCTGCACTAATTGAAGTGGGCTCCAAGTTTTAGGTCTGATGCTGTAACAGGCAGAATATCCCTTATCCAAAATACTTAGGACCAGAAGTATTTCCGATTTTTGATTATTTTTGGATTTTGGAATATTCCCATATACATAATGAGATATCCTGGGGATGGGACCGAAGTCTAAACATGAAATTCATTTATGTTTCATATATACCTTCTACATATAGCTTAAAAGTGATTTTTTTTTTTTTTTTTTTTGAGATGGAGTTTCAAAACAGAGTCTCACTCTGTTGCCCAGGCTGAAGTGCAGTGTCACGATCTCGGCTCACCGCAACCTCTGCCTCCCAGGTTCAAGCGATTCTCCTGCCTCAGCTTCCCCAGTAGCTGGGATTACAGGTGCCCACCACCATGCCCGGCTAATTGTATTTTTAATTTTATTTTTCTTTTTTATTTTTTTTTTTGAGACAGAGTCTCACTCTATCACCCAGGCTGGAGTGCAGTGGTGCAATCTCAGCTCACTGCAACCTCTGCCTCCCGAGTTCAAGCAGTCCTCCTGCCTCAGCCTCCCGAGTAGCTGGGACTACAGGCACGTGCCACCACGCCCGGCTAATTTTTGTATTTTTAGTAGAGACGGGGGTTCTCCATATTGGCCAGGCTGGCCTCGAACTCCTGACCTCAAGCAATCCGCCTGCCTCGGCCTCCCAAAGTGCTGGGATTACAGGCGTGAGCCGCTGCGCCCGGCTGCTTAATGGTGATTTTATACACTATTTTAAATAATTGTGTGTATGAAACAAAGTGTATGTACATTGAACCATCAGAATGCAAAGGTGTTACTATCTCATGTTGATGCTCTGAAAGTTTGGGATTCTGGAGCATTTTGGATTTTTGAATGAGGGATGCTCAATGGCTCGTTTATTTATTTATTTATTTTTTGAGACGGAGTCTCGCTCTGTCGCCCAGAATGAGGGATGCTCAATGGCTCGTTTATTTATTTATTTATTTATTTATTTATTTTTTTATTTATTTTTTGAGATGGAGTCTCGCTCTGTCGCCCAGACTGGAGTGCAGTGGTACGATCTCGGCTCACTGCAAGCTCCGCCTGCTGGGTTCACGCCATTCTCCTGCCTCAGCCTCCCGAGTAGCTGGGACTACAAGCGCATGCCACCACGCCTAGCTAATTTTTTGTATTTTTAGTAGAGATGGGGTTTCACCATGTTAGCCAGGATGGTCTCGATCTCCTGACCTCATGATCCGCCCACCTCGGCCTCCCAAAGTGCTGGGATTACAGGTATGAGCCACCGCGCCCGGCCCTCAATGGCTCGTTTTTAATGGGAGCACAGTCTTGCCTGATTGAGATTTATGTCACCAGTTCTTCTTGATTGGAGATGTAGAGATTTCCCATTTTTTCTGTACTTACAATGCTGCGGTGCATCACCTCATGCTATAGATCTTTGTATGCTTCTTTATTTTCTCAGGATGAATTCCTAGAAGTGGTGCTGTTGGGTCAAAGGGTGTGGACTTTGAACGGCTGTTGATACAAATTGCTGGGCTGAAACAGCAGTCCTGGGTTCACGCTTGGGGTTCCCCGGGTGCAGTCTTTGGATTGGCTTTTTCAGAGTCACTGGGGAAGCTTCTGAAAGATTAAACCCCTTGGCCTCACCCTAGGTCTGTGAATCAGAACCTGGGTGTGGGCTGGACCCCAGGGGTTCCTTTTACTCGGTGTTTGGGAAATAGGCACGGCATCTCCTCAGTGTCCAAGCCTGTCCTGGAAGGGAGACAGAGACCACACCTGTCTGTTCCCTCTAAGGGAGAGCTGTGGTGTGAGTGCAGCTCGGTGGCAGCGAGTGAGAGGAGCTCAGTTTAGGGACTTGGCTCTGGGTGTCACTTTGTTCCTCTGTAAAGTGGGAGTGGCCTTGGGGAGTCTAATGTGCTAATACCAGCATACGAGTGAGTATTTCTCTTACTAATGTCATAAGATGAGAAGGATCTCATAGTTGGCTTTCTGGCTGGGCCAGGCCAGATCTGGGAAGAGTGTGCAGGGAGAAGTGGGTCAGGACAGAGAGCTCGTCTTTCCAGCCCTTCCCCAGGGGGACCTTGGGCTGCTCCACCGTTGGAGCCGGGTGCTGTTGGCTCAGGCCCACTGTGGGTCCTGGCGTCCTTATGTCCAGGTCAGCAAAGAGGAGCTGCTTTTGCCAGGGGTTGCTGCATCCTGTGCCTAGAAGTGAGAGTGCCAGGAGGCTGGGGTGTGGGCTTCCCAGCCATTGTCTGCAGTGCGGGAAGGAGGCCCCAAGGTGCCTCCCCACCCGTCAGCGTGGACCGCAGAAGTCACGGATGCTGCCTTTCTGATGCGATGCAGCAGTCTTTCCTCAGAGGGCCATAGCTGCACTGTGTGGATGTGCTACTTCCTGACACCGGCGTTAGTCCAGATGGGTTTGCTCAGGTGCACCCAGCCAAGGGGTAACTCTTTGCCAGGTGTAACCTCCAGGATGCTACTGTAGATGGGCTGTTTACCAGTTGTCCCTGTAAAGGTCAAGTCTGCTCTGACGGCCCTGTTTCTTGGTCTGTAAGTCAGAAGGAACATCATTTATTCACTTCTTCAAGTAAACGTACTGTGCTGTAGTAGTCAGGATGAATGGTCCACATTAGGGAGCAGACGGCAGCACAGCTGACTTGGGGACTGATAAGTTGTGCCTTGCTGTGGGCGCTTGGGAAACACATCCAAGGAAAGGGATTGTTTTTCTTTTTTCTTCTCTTTTCTTTTTTTTTTTTTTTTTGAGATGGAGTTTCACTCTGTCACCCAGGCTGGAGTGCAATGGCGCGATCTTGGCTCACTGCAACCTCTGCCTCCCGGGTTCAAGCCATTCTCCTGCCTCAGCCTCCCAAGTAGCTGGGACTATAGGCGTGCACCACCATGCCCGGCTTGCTTGCTTGCTTATTTATTTATTTATTTACTTGAGACGGAGTCTCGCTCTGTCACCCAGGGTGGAGTACAGTAGCACGATCTTGGCTCACTGCAACCTCCGCCTCCCGGGTTCAAGCAATCCTCCTGCCTCAGCCTCCTGAGTAGCTGGGATTACAGGCTCATGTCATCACATCTGGCTAATTTTTATATTTTTAGTAGAGATGGGGTTTTACCATGTTGGTCAGGCTGGTCTCAAACTCCTGACCTCGTGATATGCCTGCCTCGGCCTCCCAAAGTGCTGGGATTACAGGTGTGAGCCACTGTGCCCAGGCTTTATTTTTGTATTTTTAGTAGAGACGGGGTTTCACCACGTTGGCCAGGCTGGTCTCAAACTCCTGACCTCAAGTGATCCACCCGCCTTGGCCTCCCAAAGTGTTAGGATTACAGGCGTGAGCCACCATGCCCAGCCAAAGGGGATCGTTTTTCTCTTATGGAAGGGGGCCCCGGGGTGAAGGTCTGTCTCCTGAAGGAGATAACTTGAGAGCAGAGCTTTCTGGGCTGAGTAGAAGTTCATTAGGTGATAGGTAGGTGCGTTCCAGGCAGGAGAAGCAGAAGCGTGAGGATATGCATTAATGTAGGACACAGCCAGGTGTGCCAGGTGACCATGGGCACCGTGGTGACTGGACAGTGGCTGGGTCAGGGAGGGGTTGCAGGAGATGACCTGGAGAGGAGGTAGAGGCTGTGCCAAGGACCCAGCCTTGTGGCCTCCCAGATCTGGCCTCCAAATCTGCTTCTGTTTCTGAGCTGTGACGCTTAGGTAAGTTGCCTAGTGTCTTGGAGCCTCAGCTTCCTCACCTGTAAGATGCAAGCAATAAGACGAATTTTAGAGGGAGTTATTAAATGATATAATATATATACACTGTAGAGCAGAGAACTTGACACATAGTCAAATGTTCACTAAGTGTTTATCTCTTCCTTTTAAAGTCTGGGGTAAGGCTTTTTGACTTTAGGCCAGAGGGAGCCGTAGAAGGTTGTGGAGGATGAAATTGATAAGATTATATCCATTTGCTGTTATGTTTGGGTGTTGGTGTTGTGTGGAGGATACTGGTCCAAGATAAGGATGAGTGAGGAGTGAGAAGAGCCTTCCTCTTTCATGGTCTCTTTCTGGTTTTCTCGTCAGCCATCTCCAGTGGGCGGCAGGGATGGCTTGCCAAGGCTCTGAGCTGAAGTTTTGGAGGAAGAGGCCAGGGTTTAAAATGTGTCCCTGGTGAGCCAGCTACCCCTGAGCGAACCTATAGGAGTGGACACTTGCTGAGCACAAGTCTGGTCATGAGAAAGTGGAATGAGTATGAGGAGAGGGGCAGAAAGCTGGGCCTTGAGCCTGTGGAACTGTGCATTGTAGTGTAGCCATAGAAAGCATTTGTTGACCACTCATGTGTGCCCCGGGAGGTTGCAAGGATCATCTCATCCCAGCAACTCTAAGATGAAGGCCACTACTCTCCTCATTTTACAGATGAGGGAACTGAGGCATAGAGAGAGTAAGTCACTTGCCCAGAGTCCCAAGCCAGTGAGTCGGGATTTTGCCCTTGGCTGTTGGAATCCTGAGGGCACGCCCATTGTACTGGGGTGGAGAATTGGAGCAGGCTTTGGGGAGTTTTCTGCTACCAGTTCCTGCTGGCAGATTTCCATTGCCCACAAGGAAGAACGCTGCAGCAGGGTGTGTTGGTCTGTGGTGAGGTGGCTGCCTCTGGAGGTGCTGAGCTCCCCCAGTCTGGGAGGGCCTGGATGGCTGCCTGGCCTGGATGCTGCCACAGCAGAGTCAGTGCCATCCTTACTAGGGAGATAGGTTACATGCTACCCTAGCCCTTGCCAACTTCAAGGCGGATGGGACCTCAGAAAC
The DNA here is from genome assembly GCF_000001405.40 of Homo sapiens. NCBI lineage: Eukaryota > Metazoa > Chordata > Mammalia > Primates > Hominidae > Homo > Homo sapiens. The sequence goes on along the minus strand of NC_000010.11, from coordinate 77,899,086 downwards.
CAAGCCCTGCAGGAGGGCACAGATGTGGGAGAATTCAGAGGAAAGCCATCTTCAGATTGGGCCATGAGTTGTCTGAGTACGTGGAGAGTGGCAGGTCTGGGGTGCTACCTGCTGTTTTCCAGCACTGGCTAGTTGATAACAGCTGTCCTGGGCTGCAAACCTCTTTGCCGCATCTGGGTAGGAGGAGAATCCTGGGATTGCTGCCCCGTCCCGGCGTGGGTGACTTTGGGTGAGTGCCCTCCCTTTCTGGGTCTTTGCATCTAGCATTTGGTGACCTTGCACAGCACGGAGCTTCCTCTACTTCCTTACCGCCTGCCTGGCCCTCTCAGGCATGCACAGGCCTGTCAGGAGCCAGGCCATGGAGGGGGCAGGGGCCCACTTCCTCAGGAGCACTCAGGGCAAGCCCTGACCTGAAGGGATAGACGCGGGGCCCAGCCGCGTGACTCGTGTGCCGTCAGGAGCTGCTCCTGCGCTGGTGCCAGGTGGTGTCATTGGGGTTCGGATTAAAAGATAACTCTATTGGCAGGAGGAGGCAGGCCTTTTCTGGCTTTAATAGCCAAGCCCACAGCCTGCGCCATGCAGCATCTCCCAGCCCCTGCTCCCATGTGCCTCTGCCTCTCCTTTTGCTCCCTGTGTGCCCGGAGGGCTGGCAGGGGACCCGTCCTCAGATTGTGCTGCTAGCACTGTCTCCCCTACCTTGTCCCCAGCTCCCCTCTGTGGAGAGGTTTTTAAATCCTACGAGCAATTCAGGATTTGCTTCCCTTTTTCTCTCTCCTTCTCCAAGAAAAGTGAAGTCCCAGGGAACTGCAGAGTCCACGTGTGGTAGAGGGTGGAGATGTGGAAACAGAATCCAGGTCTTTGGGGAGGCCAGGTTGATGGGGACATGCAGGGCTGCTTTGGCCTAAGCGTGGTGGCCAAGTGAGCCATGTGCCACTTGGTCACCTGCGCTGATGGAGAAGGCTGTTCTGGCTCCTGGGAGGAAGGTGCTTGTGGTAGCAGCAGCTACCCTGAGGCCAAAGCTTCCTTGAAGCCATGCTGGTCTTGAGTAGTGTTTGGTGGTCCCACACTCCTGAATGGGCAATCACAGGACTTCGGAGGGTCTCTGGGGAGCCTCAGGGGCTATGCTATCTATGGGAAAGGAGATAGAACCTGCCTGGAAATTCTACCACTCTCCAGTGACACAGAGACAAGGGGACCAGAATATTTGGATAGAATATTTTCAAACTTCATCATGTCTCCTGTGTTTGTATAGGCCCTCATTTTGGGAACCACATCCTTTTTTTTTTCTTTAATTCTACCACTAAGAAATTATATGATAGATCTTTTTCTTTTTCCTCTCTTTTCTTTTGTCTCTTTCCTATCTCCCCCTTTCCCCTTCTCTCCCTTTCCCCCCTCCCCCTCTCCTTCTCTTTCTCTTTCTCTCTTTGTAGAAATAGGGTCTCACTATGTTGCCCAGGCTGGTCTTGAACTCCTGGGCTTAGGTTATTGACCCACCTCGGTCTCCCAAAGTGCTGGGCTTACAGGCATGAGCCAACCAGATTTTTTCTTCAAGTGTTATTTTTATCTGTTTGCCTAAACATTAGTTTATTAAGAGGAAAGATTCTCTTAGGATATTTTCCCTTTTGGGGTACATGAAACATGGCAGCAGTAGCACAACATTACTCACTTGTTTTTAAATCAATTGTTAAATAGCAAAAATTATTTATTTATTTATTTATTTATTTATTTTTGGAGATGGAGTCTCTCTCTGTTGCCCAGGCTGGAGTGCAGTGGCGCAGTCTCCACTCACTGCAACCTTCGCCTCCCAGGTTCAAGCTATTCTCCCGCCTCAGCCTCCTGAGTAGCTGGGTTTACAGGCATGCACCACTACATCCAGCTAATTTTTGTATTTTTAGTAGAGATGGGGTTTCACCATGTTGGCCAGACTGGTCTTGAACTCCTGACCTCAGGTGATCTGCCCGCCTCAGCCTCCCAAAGTGTTGGGATTATAGGTGTGAGCCACCATGCCTGGCTTTTTAATTTTTTGATGCCTATTTTTTTTTCCTGCAGTAAGCAACAAATATTTTATAGAATTATTTGGGCAGTGGGATTATTTTTCTTCGAATTTTCTGTTTTAAACATTTTAATGATACTTTCTTTCTCTGACATTTTGTTTTGAAAATGTTCAGATCCATCAAAGAATGGAAGGGAAAGTACGATAAACACTTGTTTAGTCGTCACCGAGACTCACCAGTGGTTAACAGCTTGCCATATTTGCTTTTTTTTTTGAGATGGAATTTCACTCTTGTGGCCCAGGCTGGAGTGCAATGGTGTGATCTCAGCTCACTGCAACCTCTGCCTCCTGGGTTCAAGCGATTCTCCTGCCTCAGCCTCTCGTCACCATGCCCGGCAAATTTTTTTGTATTTTTAGTAGAAACAGGGTTTCACCATATTTGCTGGGCTGGTCTCGAACTCCTGACCTCAGTGATCCACCCCCCCTTGGCCTCCCAAAGTGCTGGGATTACAGGAGTGAGCTACTGCGCCTGGGCCATATTTGCTTTTTTACTTTCTCACTCTGCAGATGTATCCATATAAAACTTGTTTTCCTGATTCATTTGGAAAAAAGTTGTGGACATCAGGACAGTTTACCCCTAAACCTTGAAGTATGCACAAACCAGTACATATTCCTACATGACACACCACCATTATTAGACCCAAGAACCTCAGCACTGATGCAATTATATCCTCTAGTCTATAGTTCTTCTTAAATCTCTCTAATTGCCCTATACCTGCCTTTTATAGATTTTTTAAAAATCTAGGCTCTGAAGAAACATGTTGCAACTGGTTGTTATGCTAACGTTATACTAGCCAAATAAAATCTGGATTATCCATGGTTGACAGATCTTTGTTAGAACACGTTGTTATGATATAGACATTTACACTCACTACTATTTTTTTTTTTTGAGACACAGTCTCCTGGAGTGCTGTGGCGGGATCTTGGCTCACTGCAAACTTTGCCTCTTGGGTTCAAGCAATTCTTGTGCCTCAGCCTCCTGAGTAGCTGGGATTACAGGCGTGCATCACCACGCCTGGCTAATTTTTGTTCTGAAGGTGTTCAGAGCTAAGGAGGCCAGTGACCCCACATCAAAAGGGGAAAGGAGAGAATAAGTTTCTGAGCTTTGTAAAAGATGCTACTGGTTTTTCTCTGTTTTATGTCAAATAACCTGTAACACTCCTGGCAGTGGTACATTTGAGCCCTGGGTAGAGATGGGGTTTCACCATGTTGGCCAGGCTGGTCTTGAACTCCTGACCTCAAGTGATCCGCCTGCCTCGGCCTCCCAAAGTGTTGGGATTACAGGCGTGAGCCACCGCGCCCAGCCTACGCTGACTACTGATATCCCCAGGATAGCCTTAGAATTCTTGAAACTTGGGAGGGGACTGGGAGATCTGGGGACATCTGCTATCCTTTTTTTACAGAATCTGTGGTCTGAACAGCTGAGGGACTTCTCCAGTGTCCCTGAATTGAGGTTTGCTTCTGTGTTCTGAATTTCTTCACTTACAAAATCTGACACCTTCAAGTCTGGACATTTTAAACTGTCCTGCCAAATTCTTTTCTATACTCAGGGCTCAAATGTACCATTGCCAGGAGTGTTACAGGTTATTTGACATAAAACAGAGAAAAACCAGTAGCATCTTTTACAAAGCTCAGAAACTTTTTCTCTCTTTTCCCCTTTTGATGTGGGGTCACTGGCCTCCTTAGCTCTGAACACCTTCAGAACATCAGCTAGGGTCACTGCAGACCAAAGCACAGCCAGAGGAGAAGGGAAATCCTGGGGAGGAAGGAGAAGGGGCGTGAGTAGTGAAACGGCATTGGCGGGGACAGGGTGGAGGAAGAGATGTATGATGGGCCAGGGCAGTGCTGCCCTGCGGGTGAGGGTCTGTCAGCTGAGTGCCTGCTGTGAGCCTCCCATGGGAAGCAGCCTGGGGCTGCAGAGTGAGCCCTGATGGACTTGGTCAGACTGGGGTTAAGTCCAGCAGTGTGACCTGCTCATCACTTTTCTTCCCTGAACCCATGTCCACCTCTCATAAGGTTGTATCGAAGTTCCAAGAAGAAAAGCAGAGCGAGTGCTTTGAAAGGACATAGGAAGGAAGGTGGCCCTGCCCCTCAAGACCGCTGTGCTGGGGTCTTGGCAAACCCCTTGCCCCTGGAACAGAGACCGGTACAAGACCTCTGGAGTGGATAGTGCCAGCTAGGGGAGGGCAGAGTGAGGAAAGGCCTTGTTCCCCAGGAGGAAGAGAGGTGCTGAGCTAGCAGCGAGGGCTTCTTGGAGGAGGTGAGATTTGAGTTTTTCTGGATGGGCAGAGGTGGGGAAGGGGTACGCTGGGAATCAGGGAGCAGAAAAGGTTGGGCTGCTTTGGGCAGTAGAACTCCTTGCCCATCCAGAAGATCCTAAAATAGACCAGCAGAGAGAGGGCTGCTTCCATCCTCTGTGTTTAAAAGAAAGGGTTACTTGGGATTCTGAGCTGTTCTTCCTACCCCATCAAAAAAAAAAAAAAAAAAAAAGCTTTATTCTTTGCTGACAATAAAGCATGCACATTCATGTAGAAAATTTAATTAATGAAGAAGAAAAAGAAAAGCACACAAAATCCCAGAGGCAACCCTATTAACATTGTGCTGGGGAAAAATAGAACTTTTCTTGTCTGGCAAGTGTGCTAGGTGTTATCTCATTTTAGCCTCACAAAAATCCTGGGAGGTGGGTACTTTGCTTACCCCTGTTTTAGGGGCAAGGAGAGTGAGGTGCAGACAGAGGCACAGAGTGGTTAAAGAACTTGCCCTGAGTCACACAGCTAGTCAGTGGGTAAGCTGGGATTCCCAGGCAGGCAGTTGGGCTCCAGAGCTCACACAGGTAGCCCCTCTGCAATCCTGACCCCCCTTGTAGATACCTTGCTGTTTTTGTATGTGCACGTGCAGCCTCTCACACACACAGGCTAGGGTTCAGATTCTGAGTAGGCGATAGAGATCTAAAACCACCAGGCAGTAGAAACGCACCATCTTCCACCCACAGCTTCCTATGTGAGGCCTTCCATTGGTGGCTTGGAGTTTGGGAACGGAGGTTTTGTCCACTGGCTCTGGTTCTGAGGGACAGAAAAATCAGTCCACCTGTGGGAAGGCCCCATGCGGGCCACGCGCCGGGTAGGGAGACAGTAGGGAGTGGAGAAGAGGACTCAGCTCTGGGAAGGGTTCAGGCCCAGGGAGTAGGGGGTCAAAAACTGCTGTCCCTTCCCCCATCCCCCATTGATCCAGTTTCCTCCAGGGAGAATTAGAAAACCAGGTAATGGTGTCTGCACTGACTTCTAGTCCACAGGCCGTTGGCTATGTTTTGGTTACTTTTTGCTGGTCCGTTTGAACTACTTTGGACTTATGTCATTCTGCCCCCAAGCACGGGACCGTCCAGAGCAGATGCTTCCCTATGGCATTCAGGGACTGACTATGGACTTGGCAAGTCACAGCCCAGCACTGCTGCCCATTGATACACAAGATTGGCAGGTGCTGCTGTCTGGGGCGGGCAGGGACTCCTGGAGCCCTTTGCCGTGCCCCCAACCCCTTGGCCTGGCAGGGCCACTGGAGGACAGACACTATCGATGGCCTCTCTCGACCTTGTTTTCTCTTCAGTAAAGTGGGGCTGAGATGTCTGTTCTCATTACCTAACAGGGTTATGGAGGAGTAAATGGGCTGGTGGATAAGGAAAATGTGGCAGCATTACTGGGTGGGGGCAGGGGGTCCCCAGTGAATACCTTTGTCCCCTGACAGTCCCGCTTAAGTATACATTGTGTATTAGGTCTTCAGTGCACTTTCACCTCCTTCTCTCTCTCCTTCCTTGCTGAGACACTGGTGGGTAGGTAAGGTGACGTTTCCTTCTCTCTCTCCTTCCTTGCTGAGACACTGGTGGGTAGGTAAGGTGACGTTTATTTGTCCTGCAATCAAGAATGGAAGAAACTGAGCTTCAGAGAGGGGCTGCTCTGGTGGTCAAATGGCTAGCACGCCAATGCCAATGCCAGAGGCAGGGCTGGGACTAGGCTTGGCTCCCAACCTGGGGGTGCCCTGTCCCTGCACACACAGCATACTGGCCTTGCCATTCTCCCAGTGACCCAGTACCTACTGCGTTTAGTCTGAGAGGACAGCAGGAAGCCAGTGTTCCAGATTCAGCTTTGTTTGTCCTTGGCTGGTGGCCGCCTCTCTGGTTGTTCATTTATTCAGCAATCCTTTATTTTCATTTTAAAAACTTGATTACCCTTTAAAATGGACAAATACTGTATATATTTATCATGTACACGTATTGTTTTGAAATTCAGCAATCCTTTATTGGGTGTCTCCTGGCTGCCTGGCCCTGTGAGGGAAGCTAGGGCAGCAGAGATGAAGGTACCACCCTGGTCTCCAGGAATTCACTGTCTGGTGTGCGAGGTGTCTTGTAAACAGTCATTGGCAATATAGTACACAGGTGCAGTGTCCAAGGGGAGCAGGCTGGGGCCCTGGGAACACAGAGGCCTCAGTTTCCCCATCTGTCAAATGGGGCACTGGACTACTTTATCTTTGGGGTCCCTTCTGTTGTTGACATTCTGTGACTCTTCCTGATAACTGTGCTGTCTTACAAGTAAGAACACATCTAGTGTCAACCAAAATTTTATGATGAAAGTGCTCCCAAGTCAGATACAGAGGGAGGAGGCTGTTGCATTCCATACATGTACCTTTTCACAAACAAGTCCTCACTTTCTAATGGGCCACCTACATTTGTTTTGCATGGCCAGGCAGTGTTTTTCTCACAGGTTGCTTGACTAATGGCTGTGTGCCTGTGCCAAAAGGCTGCTTATGGGTCACGAGGTAGGGAGGGATTGAGGGCACGTGTCAGATGTGCTACTGCGATCAGAGCCAGGACTGGGTGCGATTCCATTAGCTGGGGCATCCCGGGAAGCTGGGGCATCCCAGGAAGCTGTGCCATCCCATGTTCCTAATGCCTTGTTTGGCCTGTGGGTGTGTCCGTCCTCCCGAGTCTGGGACTTGTGGGGACCATAAATGCAGATGATGAGGGCAGGGTGCTGTGATCCCTGGGGGCCTGTGTCTCTGAGCCAACCTGCAGAAAGAGGCAGGGTCGAGTCTGAGAGAGGGGCAGGGCTGGGGACAGCCAGATCCCTGAGGGTTCCCCCTTTCTGGGCCTTGTGCTAGGGGACTCATTCAAAGTTATACAGCCAGCAAGCAGCAGAGCCGGATGGCTCCGGAGTCAGTGTTCCCGCATGCAGAATGTGAGCTTTTCAGCACACCAGCCCTCAGCCACCTGCTGTGGGAGAAAGTGTTTGAGATGAAGTGCTGAGGGGCTGCATTTTCAGTAGGATCCAGCGACCTTTTTTTGTGATGTCCTGTGGGAGTGATGTGTAGCGGGGTTGGAGGGAATGTGGCTTTTGGGAATGAGCTGAGCTGAATTGTTGCTTTCTTCTCGTGTGTGTGTGTGTGTGTGTGTGTGTGTGTGTGTGTGTGTGTCTGTTGGGGGACAGAGGTGAGCTCACCAGCCTATGAATAATGAGCTGTGTGAGGTGACAGCTGCTCACAGAACAAAGAGACATGGAGACTCACCACCTTCCCTCCTTTGTTAAGTCCTTACTGTGTCCCAGTCACTGCTGCAGTCTGTGAGATGCAGAGATAAACCAAAGCCTCATCCTTGAGAAGTCCTCAGCAGGACCACATCTGCAGTTTGCAGTTTGCAGGCCCAGTGCAAAATGAAAATTGGGAGCTCCTTGCGGCACATAAATCATTGAGGATTTCACGATGGCAACAGCAGAGTGCGAAGCCAATTGTGAGCCTTGTGAGACTGCACAAGGTCACACATCCATGAAACCACCCTGACCCCAGCCTCATAGGTGAAGCCAGGCCTAGTAGACATCAGCTAGAACCATAGGGAGGCATGCATAGGGAGATAGGGGAGCAGGTCATTCCTGGGTAGGGGGATCTGGGAAACTCCTCGGAGAGGTCTCATTTGAGCTGGGCCTGAAGGGTCGGTTGGGATGTTGGTAGAGGCAGTAGTGATGGTGGAATCAGAAAACTGAATGGGAACACCTGGGAATGGGCTGGGTGTGATAAGCAAGTGGCACTATAGTCTGGCCAGAAGTGTGGGTGGTAGAAGGGGGAGCCCTGGGAGGGTGTGGACAGGTTAGGCTGGGCCCATGGAGACCCTCCAGTGCCAGCTTCCAGGCAGGTTTTATTCTGCGGCTGGAGAGCTGGGGACTCCTGGAAGCTCAGAGATGGTACAGGGCTGGGCTCTGGGAAGCTCCCTCTGGAGGTGGCACTCGCTGATATTCCAGTAGCTCAGAATAACTACTCCAGCGCTACCTTGAGACATCCAAGTGTAAAGCATAATTATTTACAGGCATGCGCCACTATGCCCAGCTAATTTTGTATTTTTAGTAGAGATGGGGTTTCTCCATGTTGGTCAGGCTGGTATTGAACTCCCGACCTCAGGTGATCTGCATGCCTCGGCCTCCCAAAGTGTTGGGATTACAGGCGTGAACCACCGTGCCCGGCCGTAAAGTGTAATTATTGACCTCATCCTCTGTGTGCCATTATAGAGGAGGAATCAGAGGTGCAGAGAGGTATTATGTACCTTGCCCGTGGTGGTAAATGGCAAACCTGGGACCCTAGAGACCCAAGGTGAATCGTGGGGTGGATGAGATGAGTTGAGCTATGAGAGGTGTGGCCACATCGTGGCAGTGGAGAGGAAGTGACGAGCACAAGAGGCTTGGAGGTAGGACAGGTAGACCTTGGCTGCTGATGGGCTCAAGAGCGCCCTCCAGCTGAAGACATCCTGCTGCAGCTCAGCATCCGTGTTGGCAGGGGCATCCCTCTTTGAGAAGCTGCTTGCCGTTCTCATTGGTAAATCCTGCTAGCTGTTGTCTATAGGTTTTTGGCCCCAATCTGCCTCTAAGTTTCCCCTTTTCCTCATCACCACCTTTTGGGCATGTTGTATTTTTTTTCTTCTTGCAACTCTTGGTTCTTCCCTGCCTTCCACATTTGTTGTGGCTTTGTGCTGAGTACAGTGGTTCAGGTATGGTCAGAGCAGCTGGGGTAGATGGAACTGACTTCAGTATATCTCAGTGGATGCTCTTGGCTTTGGGATCTTCTGCACTTTTGGGATGCTCACCATCTCTGGCTCCCACCTACAGTGCCCCTCCCTATCATTGTGTCCACCGTACCATGTCTCCACACATTTCCAAATACTTCCTAGGATGGTTGTCAACCACTGGCTCAATTCTCAGATTACTCCTGGGATAGGTTCTAGCCTCCTCCTTGTAACACCTTTTCTTTTCTTGCCCTCCAATGTCAGAGGGTGCAGTGCTTAGCATAAAGATACGGAGGCAGATGAAGTAGCCTGTGACCCTGCCTAACCCCTTCTTGGGTCTGGAACCTGCATTCTGTCCATTCTCCCAGCCTAGCAGGTGACCTGCTGGAGCTCAGTAACTCGACACCGCCTTGCTAATTGTCTGCTGAGGTCACAGTGAGCTCTTGTCACCGCCCATCCAGCAGGACCACAGTCCCCGACTGGGTTGACTGGTTCAGCCACTGTTCTGGACACTCATGGGAAACAAGTGGCCTTTGTCATGAGCTGGTGGACAGAGTGCGCTGTCAGCACGGGTGAGGGCTGGATACCCAGAGTTTTTGGGGAAGGCTGCACCCAGGGCAGCCAGCTCAGAGCTGGGAGGCCCAGAACAGACCTCATTTTCTCTGATAATGGGGAGCACAGAGTTGCAGAGACTTTTTTTTTTTTTTTTCCCTAGTGACTTGTGTCAACAGACTTCATTGGTTCTGCTTGGCAGAGGCCTGGGAGGTTACCTGTGGGCTTGTGAGGCCTGGGAGTTTACCTGTGGGCTTGTGAGGCCTGGGAGGTTACCTGTGGGCTTGTGAAGCCTGGGAGGTTACCTGTGGGCTTGTGAGGCCTGGGAGGTTACCTGTGGGCTTGTGAGGCCTGGGAGGTTACCTGTGGGCTTGTGAGGCCTGGGAGGTTACCTGTGGGCTTGTGAGGCCTGGGAGGTTACCTGTGGGCTTGTGAGGCCTGGGAGGTTACCTGTGGGCTTCACAGCCAGGTGTTCATCTTATCCACTGAAATGCAAACACCTAGGGGGAATGGAGACGTTTGGAGATTTGAATGTTTCAGTTTGGGCAGTTCTTCTTCAGTTATCTTGATGGGGGTGTCTTCGTCACTACCCCTCAAACACACACACAACCCACATATAAAAGACCACACATCTTAAAAGAGCTTGGAAAATATTAGTTGACTTGGTTTAATGCATAAAGCTTGAGAGGAACATGTACATATTAACGGGGTTTGGGATGGTCCTTAATGGGTGTCCTTTCCCGAGGATTCCATTTGCTTGGCACACGGTGTTGGTGCGCAGGTGGATTTGGGCGCATTCCTATCTGTCTTTTGAGACTATCTTAAGAGGCTCCAGTGAATGGACTTATAATGAAAAAGCGAGTGGCCCTTTAAAATGATTCCAGAAGAGTCAGTACCATTGCCTAAAACTATGTCGCAAAGCTCCGCCTGATGAATATTAACACATTTAACCCCTTCTTACCTAATCCTATTCATATGGGAATTCTGCTGTCTTCTGTCATCATGGTTTTTTGCACATTCTTTGCTACCATTTTCCTCTCCAGGACCTTGTAGGTCACCCGAGGGAAGAGGTGCTGACACAGACTGGGCTGTCCACGCAGGGGCTGCAGGAGAGGTGGGGAGCAGAGCCAGCCAAGGTCTTTCCTCTGAGGCTGCTGCCCAGGAGGAGGCCAGGCACATAAGTTCCTGCCGCACTTTGCCTCCTAGTAATTCATTCTGCTCTCCCTGCACTTTGCATTTGCTCTGTTCTCTGGTGCTCCCCAACAGCCCTCCCCGCCCACCTCTCATCTTTGATGTAGTCACCATGGACAAAAAGCTCTCAAAATGAAAGAACAAGTTGTAGGCTCAGAATGTTTGCCCCCGAGGAAAACGCATGTTTGCACAAAATCCTGTCTGACAGTTTCCATTTAAACTAAGAAGTTGGGAGCCCAGCAGGCCCTAGGAAATATGAAAATTGCTGCTTTGTTGGGCTGCATGATGATGGCAGCTCGGTGTGGAACTCTCTCTGCCATGAGAGATCTGAGTTTTTCAGATGAAAATCGCCGGCTGGCTGTAGGCACGGCTGCTGCTGCTGTGAGCACACACAAAGGCGTGTGGCTCTGGAGCCTGTTTGTCTGTCCCTCAAGGTCTCTTCTTTGTTTTTCTGAAATGTGATGAAATGGAACGTGACTTTAAAAATAGATATTTTCTGGAGATGGCCTGGCTGGGATCTCTGGCCTCAGCAGCCTTACTTCTGCCCCATGAATCTCTTATCTCATCTCAGCTGATGGGACATTGGCAAGGGCAGCTTGTATTTTTTTTGTTTGTTTTTATTCTTAGTAGCCTTTCCAAATATATTCCTTTTGATCACTTCTTTCTTTCCACACAGGCTACAGATTCAATAGAAACTCTTAACCGTGTTAGCTTTTTTCTCTTTAATATTAATTTTTTTTTCTGACTACCAAAGCAACAGTGCTTATTTAAAAAATAAAAGAAAGAAAAAGTTTCAAAAACTACAGATGATAGCAAGTCAGTGTTCCCCTGAAGTGTCTGCTGGGGGCCTGAGGCTGGGAAAGAAGGCACAGTGGGCTCAGACAGTGTTCATCCAGGTGGGGTAGGACTGCAGCTGCTGAGTGGGCCCAGGACGGATGGCAGAGAGGACTGAGGACTCAGGCAGCTCAGGAGCAGTTACAGGCAAAGGGCTGGGAGGTGGGTGCATCTGGTCATTGACTTTCTAGCTGAATGATCTTGGGTTAGTTCCTTGATCTTGGAGAGCCTTGGGGTTCTTGTCTGTAAAATGGGGCTAACAGCAATACGTTTGTCCTGGGGGCTGAAGTTTTAAGTGAGATAGTGTATGTGGGTGATGTCTGTATTGGAAGGGCCTGCACAGAGCATGGGTAAATGGTTGCAACTGTATTAGTTTGCTAAGGCTGCCATACAGAGTATCACAGACCAGGAAGCTTAAACAACAGACATGGATTATCTCACAGTTCTGGAGGCTGGAAGTCCAAGGTCAGGGCGTCAGATGGGCAGGTTTCTTCTGAAGCTTCTTTCCTTAGCTTGCAGATGGCCATGTTCTCCGTGCAGTTCTTCATGCAGTTCTCCTTCTGTGCATGTCTGTGTCCTGATCTCTTGTTATAAGGATGCCAGTCATTTTGGATTAGGGCCCACCCTCATGGCCTCATATTAACTTTATTACATCTTTAAAGACCTTATCTTCCAATACAGTCATATTTTGAGGAACTGCAGAAGGGGTTAGGGCTTTAACATATGGATTTTGGGGGAATACACTTCAGCCCATAAGAGCAGCATTACTGGCAGGGCGCGTTGGCTCACGCCTATAATCCCAGCACTTTGGGAGGCCAAAGCAGGCAGATCACTTGAGGTCAGGAGTTCAAGACCAGACTGACCAACATAGTGACACCCCATCTCTACTAAAAATACAAAAAATTAGCCAGGCCTGGTGGTGTGTGCCTGTAATCCCAGCTACTCGGGAGGTTGAGGCGAACCTGGGAGGTGGAGGTTGCAGTGAGCTGAGATCTAGCCTGGGTGACAGAGCGAGACTCTGTCTCCAAAAAAAAAAAAAGCAACATTACTACTCTCACACGGTTCTCTAGTGACAACGGTACCCTAAGGGGGCAAGCATTTCTGGCTGAGGGTCAGTGGCAGTGTTCAGGAAGCTCAGAGGGCAGGAAGCCCAGGGTGCGTGTGCAGACCCTGGTGGTATTCCCCAACTGAGCCACTCACCAGAGACTCTGAGCAGCATCTTAAAAGCCTGGAATGCTGGAGGTGCTGATTCCTGGGGATAGGAAGGGGTCCTGAGACATTTTTGGTTTTTATTTTTATTTTTTTCCAGCATTTTTAAAGAGCAGCTTGGATGATTCTGATGAACAGCCAGGCTGGGAGCCATTGGCCAGAAGCTCTGTTGACCGACTGCCCCTCTCTGTTGGCTCTCACAGCCTGCACAGGGTGTCCAGGTGCTTATCTGGGGGGACCTTTCTCTACCTAGGGATTCCTGCACTCTTGCCTTCGCTGGAGGGCACTTCCTTCATCCCCTTCCTCCTCTCATCCTGCTCATCAGAGTTGTGGGCTTGTTTCACTCCTGGCACTGGCACCAGCTTGCTGTGTGACCTGGCTCAGTCACGCCCCCTCTGAACACCTGTAGGATGTCAGGGCTGGACGGTAGAGGGGATGCCCCTTAAACTATGAGAGGGCTGAAGTCTGACTAGAAAATGCAGATTCAACTCTTACTCTTCACACTTTCACTAAGCATTTGCCTTGCTCAGGGGGCAGGGAGAGTAGAGCAGCCATAGTGGTGCAGGCTGGAGGGTCCCAGTCCATTGAGATGAGACTGCCTGCAGAGCTCCCTGCAAATGGCCAGAGGGTCAGGAGCTGCAGGAGGCTGGAATCTTTGGGGGCTGGCACACTTTGATTCCATTTGCTGTACTCCAGGGTCGTGGATGTGGATTTTGGTTTTTTTCTCTTTGCACAAGATAGTGAATGAAATATTTTCCCTCGTTACTCAAGATCAACTTTTCTGAGCATTGCCCACGTGTGAAAGATAATCTACATCCCTTTATGCATTTGAAATCCTTCTGTGATCTCCTCTTCCATTTTCTGTGGTTGACTTGGGGCAATTTGAAGGCATTGTGTGTCCAGATTTTGCTTGGAGTGTTTTAGGGGGAGCTCCTCTTTCTGCATTTAAACAAAGAGTAGCATGGGCCTGTTTTCTGAGCGTAGGCATCTAAGAATGGGCTCATGCTCTAGCTGAGGGCCCATGTGAGCACTTGAATGTACTGAGATGACAGGTGTGGAATGGGTCATGATGAAAGCTTGCTATAGGGTTTTAGGGCGAAGAATGCTTGTGCTGTTTTATCTTTATTTGTGGGGGGATAGGAGGTGACAGCCTGAGTGTATAGTACCCAAAGTCTCATTTAAAAGCTCACTCCTGCTCTGGGTGTGACAAAGGTGAGCGTTGGATACCTCAGTGGATGTCTGCAGGTAAGTGTGTGCAGCGTCCTTTCTGTAAAACATTGGAAAGAGTCCCAGCAGTTTCAGGAATGGACTTCTGAAGTCCGCCATTTCCAAAATGCACACCGAGTACTGTGAAAATGAGGGTGAACCCTCCTGGACGGTGTTACTTTATCGGAGAGGAAGCATGTTTGGAACATCTGAGGGCCCGTCTTGGATTGGAGGATCATCTGCTTTGGGCAGGGCTGCCCAGAGCGCCTCTGATAGCCAAACTCTCAGACTTTCTGTTTCTCGGGGCCTCAAAAGAAGTCGATGGAAAAAAGATAATTGTCCTTTTATTTTTCCCTGAGCGCTCCTTGAGTCACAGTCATTTAAAGGATGTCAGAGACACAGATTAGATTGCAGAGTTTAATTCCAATCAGTAATTAATTACGGGAAGCCTGCTAAGTGCCGACCACCATGAACCATGTCTCTGGAGGTGGACAGGTCTGTAGAAACAATGTGCTCCGGGGATGAGATACTCTTGCCCGACTTGCCCAAGGCAGACGTTGCTGATCCACTGTGGGGTCCTTTCCCAGTGAGCTGAGGTATGGCTTTAGGCACAGTACTCAGGCAGGCGGTGTGATGCATGGCTGCTCTTTCAAGATGCACCTTGTGCCTTTTCTGGTCTTATCCAAGCCCTTCAATTCTCAGATGGAGAAACAGGGCCAATCAATTGCCTGCTTAATTGACTCCATGCATAGCATCTTTGACCTCCAAATGACCAGATCAGAAGTTTCTTTGCTTCCGAGTCCTCCCTAGCATTTGGTGTGGCAGACCAACCCCTCCAGGCTCCCTCCACCCCATTGCCTTCTAGGATGCATCATTCTCTTGCTCCTCCTACCCCTGCTCCAAGTGATCTTTCTATGTCTTTTCCAGAAACTCATTTTTTCCTCCTGTCTTCACAGGAAGTATTTCCCCAGATTCTGAACTTTATATACACTTAGAACAATGTTACTTCAGGCCAGGCGTGATGGCTCACGCCTGTAATCCCAGAACTTTGGGAGGCTGAGGTGGGTGAATCCCCTGAGGTCAGGAGTTTGAGACCAGCCTGGCCTACATGGCAAAACACTGTCTCTCCTAAAAATACAAAAAATTAGCCAACTTCTGGTGGCAGGTACCTGTAATCCCAGTTACTTGGGAGGCTGAGTCAGGAGAATTGCTTGAACCCAGAAGGGGGAGGTTGCAGTGAGCTGAGATCACACCACTGCACTCCAGCCTGGGCAACAGAGGGAGACTCCGTCTCAAAAAAAAAAAAAAAAAAAAAAAGAACAATGTTACTTCATAGTCACTGTTTAGGGGGTCCATAGATCCAGCCCTCTCCTCTGTTTTTTCTTTTTCTTTCCCAATGACATTGTTCAAATTGAGTCTTATGTTTTTTTCTAACCCAGGGGCTTCACATTACCAATTAGTGACTCTGGGCTTGTCACTCACATCCTGCAGGCTCAATGGTGTGACTCTGGAGTGGACTGTGTTAGCCTGAAACTTTCTCTGTGGTGCCACATTCCAGTTTCTGAGTGTCAGCAGGCTGTCTTCACAGGGATTTTCTTTAGTGCATTCTACCTGATGGATTTCAACGATCTCATTCCTCCTCCTTTAATCCTCTGCCTCTGTTAACTGTGTCACCTTCTGGGATGCCCCAACCACAAACCTCAGCACCATCCTCCATTCTTCCCTACCTGTGGTCTTGGGCCCTCTCCCTACCCGTACCCCATGACCAGTAGTTAAGGGCAGCTCTTGTGGGAACATCCTAACTGTTCTCTCAGCTTCCAGGCTCTCCCTGCTTCCATCCTTCCAGTTCACAGTTGCTGGAGACAGGTTCCTGAAGCTCATACCTGCTTGCTTATTCCTGTGTTCAAAAACCCTGGGCATTCTTGAACTCCAAGGCCCAGAAGCTGGAGCTTTCACCCATAGTAATGAAAGTCAGCGTAGAATTGCGTGAAACTAGGTGAGGTGTGGTCCACCCTGAGGGCCCAGAGATTTTGGACACCTCTAATGGAGAGAAATGGAGGTGAAGCTCTTGGGTGTTTTTTTTTTTTTTCTTTGAGACATTGTTTCGCTGGAGTGCACCCAGGCTGGAGTGCAGTGGAGTGATCTCGGCCCACTGCAACCTCTGTTTCCCAGGTTCTCGTGCCTCACCCTCCCGAGTAGCTGGCATTACAGACGTGCACCACCACACCAGGCTGACTTTTTTTTTTTTTGTATTTTTTTAGTAGAGACGAGGTTTCACCATGTTGGCCAGGCTGGTCTCCAACTCCTGGCCTCAAGTGATCCACCTGCCTCAGCCTCCCAGAGTGCTGGGATTACAGGCGTGAGCCACTGCACCTGGCCTTCTTGCGTTTTAATTCCTTTTCCTTTTGTATGCATGTTTGTTGTTTTTGTTGTTTGTGTTTTGAATAAGAGTAGAAGGAAGAAGGAGTTTGTGGAAGAGAAGAGGCTGACAGTGGAAAGTAGAGAGAAGCATGAAGGAAGACTGGGAAAGATTTGCAGTGGAGTCGGGGACAGAGATAGACCTGAGCCTCCTGAGGAGGTGAAAAATGGATCATTTATTAGCAGTTACGAAGCACTTTCAGCATCCAGTATTTCATTTGCTCTGCACGACAGCCTGTGAAATACTGACTGTATAAAGACTTTTAGCCTCAGTGTGCAAATGACACCGAGGCTCAGAAAAAGTATTTGCTCCTGGTCACTGATTAGGAGGTGGCCAAAGCAGAGGGAGCCCATGTCCATCCAGCTCCTGATCCTGGGCCCTTTCCACAGTATGGGGTCACTTTGTGCCTCCCGCCCTATGGCAGGGGTCCTGACGAGTTCAAACTCAGCAGGAATATTGTGGTGGGCAAGGGGTTCTCCATGACCTCAGGAGCCCTAGTTGCTGCTACTACAGACCCAGGCTGAGTTGCCTTGGTGGTCAGTGATTCTCAATGCAGCCCACGAAGTAGATGAGGAGGGCAGTGTAGATGACATTGAAGAAAGAGGGGGCAGAAACAGCACCCGTTTGCTGATGTCTTAGATAAGACTTTTCCTTTGTAGTTGCCCTCTTTGGCCTTTGTGGACAGAATGTCCCCGACCTGTGAAGCCTGGGATGCCATGTCCTTGCCTAATGCCCAGCTCATGCCATGTGACTTGGGCAGTTCCCAGAGCCATCATTTTCTCTGGCTGATGACTCAGCTTACCTTGAGCTGAGATTAATGGAACATGCCATTATGGGATGGTGTGGCACGAAGGGACAGTGGGGGAGGGACACCTTTACAGTTCTTTTGCATTTGGTCTAAGCATCAGAATCATAAACAGCTTCCTGAAACTCCATTGGCCCACTCCATTTCTTGCTGCCTTCTAAAGACCCAGGATGGAGATATTTATCTAGCTTGTTCCAGAGACAGTACTAGTCTCTTCTGAGGGGGACCAGAGAAATCCACGGCCAGAGGAGTGACAAGGCCAGAGAGGTTGAAGCCAGGACTAGAGGACAAGGCTGGCAGCTGAGCTGTGACAGAGGTGACTGGAACCCTTCTTTCTCATGCTTCCCTTTTTTCCTTCTGTTGGAAAGATGGCCTTGGCCACAGTGCTGCATGCTGGCCACGAGATAGCATGCCTGCTTGGAGAAGAGCTCCTGACCTGCCAGTAGTGATTACTAGGTATCTCCTGTTCCCTGAGTGTTGACACTGGGCGAGGGATGCCTGCTTGCATCTTTTTCTATCCAGTGGGAGAAGGAACTAGTGAGTATCACTTTTTCTGATCTTGTCAGAAAGGAGGAGGTCTGGTCAGGAGTTCAAGACTAGCCTGGCCAACATGGTGAAATCCCATCTCCACTAAAAATACAAAAATTAGCCAGGCACAGAGGCACATGCCTGTAACCCCAGCTACTCAGGAGGCTGAGGCAGGAGAATCACTTGGACCCGGGAGATGAAGGTTGCAGTGAGCTGAGATCACACCACTGCACTCCAGCCTGGGTGACAGAGTGAGACTTTGTCTCAAAAAAAAAAAAAAAAAAAAAAAAAAAAGGTCTAGGGTTAGTGGATGAGAGTCCTGCTTGAGTTGGGACCCTCTGCTTACTAGCTTTGTGGCCTTGGGCAAGTTACTTGGCTTCTCTGAGCCTACATTTCTTCATCTAGAAGGTGAGTTGATAGTGGCCCACCTTGTAGGATTGTTGGGAGAATTAAATGAAATAATCCATACAAATAGTGCCTTTCTTGCAACAAGTACTCAATAAATGTTACCTGATATGAGTAGAGTGTAACAACAAAAACATGAGCTGTGCCATGTAGGATGCCTAGTATACACTGAAGGGTCTCCCTAATGCTCTGCCTCATTTCCATCAGCCTCCTTGATAACTGGGGAAGTTCAGGGGGTAGGTGGAGTGCAGATTCAGCTTGATCAGGAGTCGGGAGGATTGTGTGTCTGTCTTACCTTCACCATTAAGCAACATGGGCATATCTGAGCACCTCTCTTAAGACCTGACCACATGCAGTTGTGTTCAGTTTGTTTGTTTGTTTGTTTTTATTTATTTTTTGAGATGGAGTCTCACTCTGTTGCCCAGGTTGGAGTGCAGTGGTGCAATCTCAGCTCACTGCAACCTCCGCCTCCTGGGTTCAAGCAATTCTCTTGCCCCAGCCTCCTGAGTAGCTGGGATTACAGGCATGCGCCACCATGGCCGGCTAATTTTTGTATTTTTAGTAGAGGCGGGGTTTCACTGTGTTGGCCAGGCTGGTCCTGAAACCCTGACCTCAGGTGATCCACCCGTCTTGGCCTCCCAAAGTGCTAGGATTACAGGTGTGAGCCACTGCACCCGGCTGTGTTCAGTTTCTTTACTTGTGTGGTCGACTCTCCCATCTCACTACCCACTTCTCCTCTGTCTTCTTGGTTGATTTCTCTTCTCTTCCCTTAGCCCCTGCATGCTCAGGTTCATTCCTTGGACCTCTCCACTGCCCTTGCTGTCTGTACTCCTTCCTTGGGTGATTTTATCAAGGCTCATCACTTTAAATACTAAGCATATGCTGACAATTCTCAGATTACATCTCTAGCCATGACCTTGTCAGTGAACTTGAGGCCTGTACATCCATCTGCCTGCCTGACACCTCCCTTGTGTGTCTGTAGGCACCTCACGCATGACCAGGCCCCGCGGGAACTCATGATTCCCCAACTCCCTCCCCCATCTGTTTTTCCTGCAGGCTTCCCCCTTTCAGCAAGGACCAACATCATCCTTCCAGTTTCCAGGCCAAGAACCCTGGAGTCATCCTTGACTTTTCTTTCTTTCCTATTCCACATTGGGCCTATGAGCAGATCCTTTCAGCTCTGCTCCAAGCCAAATGTGGAATAGGAAAGAAAGAAAAGCTCCAAAATATCCCTCAAATCCAGCTACTTCTCACCAACACCATTCTTGTCACTCTGGTCCAGACCCCCAGCATTGCTCCCCTGGACTTGCGAGTTTGCTGTCTGACTTGTTTCTATGCTTCCCTGCTTGTGGACAACATTCAACAAATCATCTAATGAGCCTAAGTAGATGTAAGTCAGATCATGGCTTTCCTCTACTCAGAACCTTCCAGAGTTTTCCCGTCTCACTCTGAATAAAGCCCTGCATCCTCTGTGTGGCCCATAAGGTTCTGCCTGGAGCTGTCCTATTGCCCCTGTGACCTCATCTGCATCCTCCTCCAGGTCCCTCCACCCACAGCAGACAGGTCTCCCCGCATGGGGTGGCCCCAGGGCCTTTGCACTTGCTATTCCCTCCTCTGGCACTCCACGCTTCCTCTAGGTCTCTGGGGAAAGATGACCTGCCCAGAGAGACCCCTGCCACCGCTGTACAATAGCCACATCTCCTCTCCACCCCCACCACCTACCATTTAACTCTGCAACATTTTTCTTCATAGCACTTACTACCCAATACAGTTTATGTTTGTTTATTTCTCCCCCGCCCCTGTCACCCTGTTCATGTGAGCTCCATGAGGGCAGGGATTTGTCCATCTTGCTTCCTGCTGCATCCCAGTACTTCACCCAGCATTAACCCAGCGTTTGGCGAATGAGTGGGCCTTGTGTTTCCGGGGACAGACATGCCCACCAATGCGTAGCATCTTTTACAGGGCACTGACTGATGTCTGTATGTAGGTGGTGGGAGCCAGGACTGGATGAGTGGAGGTGCAAGCCTGGTATGATTCCAGGCACACTGTGAGCGCTCTGGTTTTTTCTTTGTGAACCAGAGAACCAGAAATCATAAGGGATGCTGGGGATGGCTTGGAATTGCCATGGCCACGTGGAATGGTGGGAGGGGAGAGGAAGCCTCCTTATCCACAGGCATAGATAGAGCTGTATTCAGGTATTGAGAGGCGACACTCATGGCTGGGTTGAGGGGGAAGCATTAGCTCCTGAGGGAGATGGTGATGGGAAGTATACAGAGTACTCAATGCAGAGCTTCTAACCAGCAAAACACTCCAGAAGTCAAGGGAAGGCTGCGTGACTGTCCTCCAGGTCCCTTCCATAGCATCTGCTGTCTGTGTACACTGCAGAGGCCACCCCATGCCCTGCCTTCCTTAGGAGCCTGTGAGACGGTAACAGTAACGAGAGCTGGTGTTTGTGGATCGCTTGCTGTGCGCCTGGCTCTGTTCTAAGGGCTTTCCCTCTCGTTGCTCATTCTGTTCTCATCACCTACTATTCTTCCTATTTTATAAATGAGGAAATGCACAGAAAGTAGAAGCAACTTATTTGAGGTCACACAGCTGGTGAGTGGCAGGCCTGAGCCAGCCGGTCTGACGCAGAGCCTGCCTTGCTACAGTTGCCCTGGGAGGGTGGAGGGCAGTGTACTCTGCAAGGTATGCGCTCCATCCTGTGTGGGAGGGAGGCAGCCTCTTCTCCATTTACTGACTAGTGGAAATTGAGCACCGGGCCAGAGCAGGAGGGAGCCGGGGGTGCCCGGTGCCTTTCAGAGAGCTGCTTCCTGCCTGTTGTGACTTCTGGGGCTTATCAGAAGTTTATTCTAGGGCAGACATGGCCCCCGGGGGATGTCCGGCTGGAGCATAATGGAGGCTTGGCTGCCTCTTGGGTGCCCCTGCTGCTCAGATTTCCTGTCTGGGTTTGGTGTGACATGTGCTGTCAGGGTGGCGGGGCAGAGGCGCTGCTCCACTCCTTCACACCTCGCCTTGTGGGTGCTGTCAGGCTTGGCTATGTTCGTTGTCCCCCCTCCACCCCCACCTTCCAGGGCATAGCACGATGGCCCCATCCTCCTCCTTAATCAGACCCTCTTTGGGCCTCCTCCTGTGCCTTTTAGGTGCAGAACTGTCTTAGTCTGGCCAGAAGTGACAGCAGGGAGCAGGGCTTGGTTTTGGTGATGGAAAGCAGGAACCGAGAGGTGGTCCCACCTGGTGTCAGGTTTGATGGTCTTAGGTCCTCCCACTGCCTTCCCTCCCTCCCTGCTCCCATCCCCAACCTGCAGCCCGGCAGCTCTGAAGGGAGGCAGAACAAAGAGGGTGGCTTTCATCAGACACAGGCTTTGTGCTCATCCCAAAGCCTCCAGGAGCCTTTGCTTCGCTGATGAAGACAAGCAGGCTATCCAACTGTGGACTCTTTTCATCCCTCGAAATTCAACAAACTTCCATCTTTCCTTTATGTGCTAGTTTTATTTTATTTTTTTTTAGTCCCTGTCACTTGCCACTTAAAAGAGGAAAAAAAAAAAAGTAAAGAAAAAGACCAAAACCAGTCCTGTAGTTAGCGAGTGAAGGGTCTTGCATGGTACTGAATGATTTAATTCTGGGGTGCACATGTTTTGTTTTCCCTCTCTTTACATATTTTTGCCTTGGGGCATTTTGGGTGGGGAAGGGAGGGGAGTCACAGATGGCAAAATTGATACGAGAGTTTTCTCAGGTTCAGGCAATTTAGTTCATTATTTTATAAATGGCCTCAAAAGTCCAGTGGGAAGGGGTTAGGGAATGTGTTAAGGAATGGACACAAAAGCCAGGTGTGGTGGCGCACACCTGTAATCCCAGCACTTTGGGAGGCTGAGGCGAGCAGATTGCTTGAGCCTAGAAGTTTGAGACCAGCCTGGGCAACAAAGAGAGACCCTGTCTCTATTTATTTTAAAATATAAAGTTTAAAAAAAAAAAAAAGAATGGACAGAGAGCTCGGCAGCCATCATCTTCCTTCCTGCCACCCCACACAGATCTCACTGCATACCTGAGGTTAAATCTCCAATTATCTGGGCAATGCCCCTTCCCCTTTACTTTTTTTTTTTCCTTCCTTCCTTCCCTTCCTTCCCTCCCTCCCTCCCTCCCTTCCTTCCTTCCTTCCTTCCTTCCTCTTAGAAAAAAAAGATGGGATTGGCTGGGTGTGGTGGCTCATGCCTGTAATTCCAGCATTTTGGGGTGGATCACCTGAAGTCAGGAGTTCGAGACCGGCCTGGCCAACGTGGTGAAACCCCGTCTTTACTAAAAAATACAAAATAGCCAGGCATGGTGGTGCATGCCTGTAGTCCCAGCTACTCAGGAGGCTGAGGCTCGAGAATAGCTTGAACCTGGGAGGTGGAGGTTACAGTGAGCTAAGATTGTGCCACTGCACTCCAGCCTGGGCAACAGAGTGAGACTCTCTTTCAAAAAAAAAAAAAAAAAAAGAGAGATGGGGTCTTGCTATATTGCCCAGGCTGGTCTTGAACTCCTGACCTAAGTGATCCTCCTGCTTCAGCCTCCCAAAGTGCTGGGATTACAGGCATGAGCCACCTCACCTGGCCACCTTTACCTTTTAAAGATAGGTGAGCAGTTCTTATAACGACCAGAAATAGGGGGAATCCACATCATTATGATTTTTTTTTTTTTTAGCGCAGTGATGCTGCTTGTTCCAAAACTTGGTGGAAAATACTATAGCATTATCTCAGTTGAGGAAAACAAATATTAAATCTTAACTTACAAACCAAGAGTAGGATTTTCCCACCCTCGGGTGGCATATAAGGCGCATCAGCAGGACTTCCTTGATGACATGCCAGTGTCTGTGGTTGCTCCATTCCAGGGCCATGGTCAACCTATACCTCCCTGAAATACTGGGCCTTGTCCGCTTCCCAGTTTGGGTTTCAGTGTCTGTAGCCTTGGGCCGTGCTTTTAAAGGGTAGGAGGCCGAGCCCCTAGGGAGGGGCTGGGGCTGCCCTGAGTGTAGTTTTTTCTTTTCTTTTTTTTTTCCCTGCCACCTTTCTTCCCTCCTGAGAACTGAGCATGGTTCTGCAAGCAGGCTTCCTAGTAGCCTAATAGTAGGATATGAGCCCTCTGTCCCCCCAGCATCCCAGGAGGTCTTTAAAACAGAGAAGGTGGGCTCTGCCAAAGGTGATAGCACTCCGCAACTTTCACGGTCACCTCCTTCCTCATCTCTGCAGTTCACAGAATTGAGTGGCTCTTGAGTGCAGGCTTGCCCACACACTGCGACTCCCCTCTGCAGGCAGCACAGGCATGGGTATGGAATGGGGGCCATGAAGCCACAGCTCCTTCTCTTTCTTCCCACTTGGGTGGAAGTGGCTCAGCTCAGAATGCCTATTGAGTGTTGTCTCGGTGTGGGGAGGTGGGCAGGGAGGAGGTGAGCCCATTCCCAGGGAATAGAGGCTGGGGGGCCTTGGCCCAAGCCAGCCCTGCTCTGAGACTTCTTACCCTTCCAGAGAAATGGGTTCCGCCTGTTGTCTCCTGCAAGCTGATCGGGCTTCTCATGTGCTTATCCAAGGCCACCACCTTTCAGGGCCAGCTCCAGGCCCCTGCCTCCATGAAGTCCTCTCTGACTGCTCTTCCCTGTGGAGCCGGGCAGCAGTATTGTGTGTAGGATTTGAGAGCACAGGCGCTGGGGTAGACTGCCTGGGTTTGTATCCTGTTTGTGCTCTTAGTAGCCCTAGCACGACCTTCAGCAAATTAATTTTTCTAACTCTTAGTTTCTTCCTCTGTGAAATGGGACTAATAATGACAACCTTTGGGTTGTTATGGAAATTAATGGAGGCAATACATGCAAAGTGCTTAGCACAGTCCCAGTACTTAGTAGTGCTTAGTACCTATTAGCTGCTATTATTTTTCTTGAGAGTGCCATATACAGTGCAGCAGTTTGCTTGTAGATTGTGTGACTTGTCACTCTAGTACAGCTTTCCATGTAGGTAATTGAGGAATTGAACAGCAGAGTTGGAAGGGCCCTCTGCAGGTCTGGACTGACCATAATAACACCAGCTAACACTTAGAGTACCGGCTATGCGAGGTACTGTTTCAGTCACTTTTCACAAACAGGCAGAATATCCCTTATCTGAAATCCTTGGAACCAGAAGTGTTTTTGGGGTTTGGATTTCTCTAGATTCTGGAATATTTGCATATACATAATGAGATATCTTGGGGATAGGACCCAAGTCTAGATGTGAAACGTATTCTCATTTCATATACACCTTATATACACATAGCCTGAAGATAATTTTGTTTTTCCTTTGAGGAAGCAGAATAAACTGTATCCTGCGCCTGCATTTTGACTGGCCCATCACATGAGGTCAGGTGTGGAATTTTCTGCTGTGGTGTCATGTTGGTGCTCAAAAAGTTTCAGATTTTGGAGATTTTTGGATTAGGGATACTCAACCTGCATTAAATCAGTTTATCCTCAAACAGCTCTAAGAGATAAGCACTTCTATCATCCCATTTTACTGATAAGTATGTGGAAGCACAGAGAGGCAGAGTGACTTACCTAACAGCACACAGCTCATAAGGGGCTGGGCTGGGAGTTAACTCCAAGCAGTTTGGCCCCAGCTGTGCTGCAATCATTATTGTTTGGCTCAGAGAGAAGGGCCTTCTTCTGAAGGCTACTCACAGCAGATGAGTAACCTCCAGGCTCTTGAGCCCCTGGCTTGCCATTCTTTCTCCCGAACCTGGCCCAGTGCCATGCTAGGCGGGGGGCACGTGTTGGAAACCTGGCTGACACGTGTGAGTCCGGGAGCGATTGGGCACCTTCGGTCATTCTGCTGTGGTTCGTCAGGCTGTGGTTCCTCAGTGTGAGCTGGAGGAGGGCGGCAGGATGTGGCAGGTGCCCTGAAAGTGACTGTCCTCCTGGGGCCCAGGCAGCACTTCCTGCTCTGTCTTCAGGGACCCCAGAGCTCCAGAGAGTAGCAGCTTGGTGTCTCCCTCTCCTTTCCCTGGGGATTGAGGTAGGGGGTGCTGGCCTCCCTGTGACCGTGAGCCGTCAGCTCTCTGCCTTTCTGCCTGGGCCCTTCTGGAGGACAGGGAGAACTCTGTGTGCTGGTTCAAGGCTGGAACAAGTTCCTTCAGCCACTGTGAGCTTCACGAAGAGGAAGCGTGAGTCACCAGGGCCTTTACAAGCTCCAGGTGAATGGAAGGGGTGTGTTGGGGGCGTGCTTCCATCTCTCTTGGGCCTCATGGTCTATGGGAGGGGGCCTGGGAGGGCTGGGGCATTCCATTATTGTTCGGGTGGTTTTTCCTGGAATTTCTTTTGAAGTGGTCTTCGTGACCCAGTGGCACTGAGTCACGGGGTAAACAGAATTATCAGGGGCTGGGCTCTTGGAAAGGACACAGACAGTGCCCGTGGGCCAGTCCCAGAGGGTCACCAGGCTGGCTTCCTCCCAGTGGCTTCCTTCCACCTCTCCCAGGGTTTTGGCTGCAGCTTCCATGTGCATCCCACCTGTGGACTCCAGCTCTGGGCCAGTGTGTAGAGCATGTGCCCTGGGGGCTTGTGAGAAATGCATTCTGAAACCCCACCCTCATCTGCTGAATAAGAGTTTACGTTGCCCAGGTAGTTCCTTTGATAGTAAAGAATCTCCTTATATCACGCTCTGGCCCACATGTCCACGTCTAAACTTGGCCTCAAGCTCCCCTTTTCTGGAAATGTTTCCACATCATCCAACTTTCTCTGGATCTCATCAGCACCTCTGCATGGTACTTGGTAGCTTGCACAAGTTTGTGGTTGGTGCCCTCCTCTCGTGTGTGTGTGTGTGTGTGTGCACACACACACACACACATCAGGAGGCTGATCCTACAGTCCCCCTTAGCCCTGGGCACTCTGTGAGGTAGAGAATGTCCCTCCACACTGTTTCTCCTTCCACAGCAGCCCATCCTAGGTTTCAGGGCAGGTTGGGTGGAGGTGCCTTCAGGAGAACCTGGGGAAATTGTCTCCTCCTGGATTGGGCCATGGCAGAAGATGAGGAGCACCAAATTTGACTCCAAATTTGATGGCGAAACCCCAGAGGTAGATGACGCCGACACCTGCCCCTCCGCCCCATGGAAGCAACCGGCCTTGAAAGGACACCGTGTGACTTTGGGGGACAGTGGCTTCTTTTGCCTTTTCCTGACTGTCCTGACCACACAGGCCTTTAGGACAACAATAACCGCAGAGACAAAGCATGACCGAGACAATGTCGTCTTTGGGCCTTTTTTCCCCCTTAATGACGTCCAAGGCTCTGGGAACATTGTAAAAACTGGGTCCTGTCCAATTTTAACCACTCCCCCCACCAGCTCCTAGGAGCCCTGCCAGCTCCCTGGGTTGGGGGTGGGAGTGATGCCCAGAGATGCACACAAAGATGTCACGCTGCCCTGGTTAGGCCCCAGAGGCCAGTCAGGACTGCAGGGACAGGGAAGAGGAACAGAACGTGTCGCTTGGCCTGTGGACTCCCCCAGCCAGGGAGGTAGGTGGGCGGAGAGAGGGAAGGGCATCTGCCAAGCTTAATTAACAGTGGAAACTTGCCACAGGGGAGGAGAGAGACGATTTGAAGAGGAGGGGCAGTTTACTGGAAGAAGGGGCACTGCTGATGCCAAGAGTAAGAAAGAGGGGAGCGTTCCAGCAGAGGCATCTGGAGCGCAGGCTGCCAGTGTCGTAAGCTGGGATGGGTTGAGCATAGAGATTTCTGGAGGTGAGAGTGGGGAAATTTATTTGTGCCTGCTTTCCTGAGTAGACGTCTTCCAAAAACAATCCACCAACATGTCAGTGGCTAGCCTTCCTTGCCCCCATAAAGAAAAAATACTATTTAAAAAATGGTAGTTGAGTTTAGAAAATAGGCATTGTGTTGGGTTCTTGTTCTTTGAAGATATCAATGGATTGCCCGAATTGCATTTGACTTTATTTCACAGATATTGAAGCAACATGTAATGTGTATGATATAGAAAGAGAGATGGGTTAAAAAAACATGTGATGCAGGCCAGACATGGTGGCTCATGCCTGTAATCCTAGCACTTTGGGAGGCTGAGGCCTGGTGGATCCCGAGGTCAGGAGTTCAAGACCAGCCTGGCCAACATAGCAAAACCCTGTCTCTACTAAAAATAGAAAAAATTAGGCAGGCATGGTGGTGGGCACCTGTAATCCCAGCTACTCAGGAGGCTGGGGCAGGAGAATCGCTTGAACCCAGGAGGTGGAGGTTGCAGTGAGCCGAGATCGCGCCATTGCACTCCAGCCCAGGCGACAGTGCAAGACTCTGTCTCAAAAAAAAAAAAAAAAAAAAAAAAGTGTGATGCTTATTGTTTTTGTTGAGACAAAAATGCAGAGATATTGAATGTACAGCAAAACTAATAGTGTGGGTTGGACTTCAGATATGGGAGGTGGAGCATGGGTTATTCATTATTAGCAGGATCATAGAATTTTAAGGCTGAACTGGGTTTTCTGGTTTCATCTCCCTTCAGATGCACAGACTTCCCCATGACATCCATGCCACTGAGTGCTGGGCCTCCCTCACTGTCTCACCCCCTCACCCTCAGGCTTTTCATACCTGGCAGTGCTGACCGTGGCCATCCAGACCTGTTTAGAGATGCAGCTTTCTCCAGCATCCACCCGCTGCTCCTGGTTTGGCTGCTGGAGGCCATCAAGAACAAATCTAATCCCTTCTGACAGTCGTATTGAGAGACAAGACACCTACCCATTCCCCAGTCATTCTCTTCAGCCCATGCTCAACGCCTTCAGATTCTTCAGAGTCTCTGAAAATGTGATAATGAGGCTACTGGTCATTGCCGGTCACGCCTGTCCTAGTGCTTGCCATTACCAAAGTTGCTTTTTGCTTGCTTTCTCTTTTTTCTCTCCCCCTTCATCTCTTTTTCTGATGGACACGCCTGCTAGCTCGCCTGCCTGCAGTCTATCTCTCTGCCCTCCTGCATGGTCCTCACCTCCCCAGCAAAGTCTCCCTGCTTTCCCCTCAAGGTCTCTCCTGTCCCCCAGGGGCCTCCCACCTACAGTGCATCTCCCTCCCCTGCCCCGCTCCCCCATTTACCCCCATTTCTTCATTTCTCCTCTTTCCCGTCCAAAGATGCGTGTAGGGTGGCTAGTCAAGAATTGCAGTGGAAGAGTGTTTTTTGTTTTTTTTTTCTGAGACAGGATCTCACTTTGTTGCCCAGGCTGAAGTGCAGTGGCATGATCATGGCTCACTGCAGCCTTGACTTCCCTGGGCTTAGGTGATCCTCCCACCTCAGACTCCCAGGTAGCTGGGATTACAGGTGCGTGCCACCACGCCCAGCTAATTTTTTGTATTTTTTATAGAGATGGAGTTTCACTATGTTGCCCAGGCTGGTCTCAAACTCCTGAGCTGAAGCAATCTGCCCACCTTGGCCTCCCAAAGCACTGGGATTATAGGTGTGAGCCACCGTGCCCTGCTGGGAGCTCCTTAAATGTGGTCCTCCACATTTC